>NC_000004.12:114678956-114830471 GCF_000001405.40 Homo sapiens | reverse complement strand
AAGAGGTTGTCTAATCTTCCACTTTATTTTTACACTTCTAATTTGTTTTTTGAAAAGTGTAAGCATTTTGAACTGTAAAAAATGCAATAATTTCTGAACTGAAAGCTTTAATTCATGTTTATATTCACAGAAGTATACCTACATTACATTCAACCCCTTTAATATATACCAGTGAATGATTTCAAATAAGTCTGTTAACATATCTTTGAAATCACATCCATAAGTAAATAAAGTATCCTAAAGTTCCTTTATATATTGGCTGTAATTTCAGTTATTGGTCTTTGATCTTTTATGGATGCATAGGTAAGCTAAGGAACTTAAGTTAAAAATGTTCATGTAAAAGTAAACTAAAGATCTATTTCTTTTTTCAGTATAGTATAGCTACTTAAAATATATAATAACATATAGCTTCTTTCATCTCAGTTAGCCTCTCTCAAATCAGCTAAATAAATATCTGTAAAAATGAATTAAATTAAATCAGTGGGCATACAAAAATACATTTCCTTTATTCAATTGGTGAGGCTGTCTCACTGAAAATTCTGCATACAATTTGTAATCATTATGTTTTATGTACTGTAGGTTTGATCCCCAAAAGGGTTTTTGGTGTCAATTACTGGAAGGAGGAAAGACAAAATGCCTTGGAAAAAGCAAAGGCCGAAAATATCCACCTATGGATCCAGAGGTAATAATTTTTTAATCTTTGAATTACTCTAGCAAAAATATTTGCAAACAGCTATTTCAAAACTAGTAACAAGAAATTTGCTTCCTTTTTCTGCTCTTCCTTTGCAATTAATAATTTTATATACTTAGAGGATGATAGAGATAATTGACACATAGAAATGATAGATAGATAGAGATCGGTAGATAGATACTAAAATTAATATACATTCCTAGAAATTATTTGCTGTTTGAATGCAATTCAAAAATAAATATTTACTAAAAAATGACTCATTTCCAAATGCTTAAAGCACTTAAATAGTTTACTAAACAAGTGATTTTGGATAAAATATTCAAGTATCATTATTATATATTCAATACAGATATTCAAGGCCTACATTACAGGTGGAAGTGGGCTAAGCAATGGAAAGAATACAAAGATAAAACAGTTGTGAGCTCAGATTTATTACAGGATAAATTAGTTATATCCACTGATTTGTATTAGGGACATAAAAACGTAAAACAATGACAAACGAAACCAGAAAACGGCAGGAAAATATTTCAATAGAAGTGAGGATATGAGAAGAAATGTCTTATCTGGTAGAACAGGCTTGGAAAACCAGCCAGCAATTGGCTCAGCCAGGTATCATACATATTTCTCTTATGGCAAGGTGGGCAAAGGGGGATGCAGGTGATTCATGGGTTACTATGGAAATAGATATACTAGAAGGTCCTTAAGCTACATTTTTGAACTCAATAACTTCAAAAGGGTTTCAGAAATCACTTTAATCCACCAAGAAATAAATGTAATGTTCCCACTACTACTATAAACATCTTATCCGAAATGTGAAGTGTTTACAATCTGGTTTAAGGGAAGAAACATAATGAAATACCTGGTGAACGTTCCAAGATGAAATGTAGTTGTCTTAAATCCATTTCCACAGTATACACAAAAGTTGCTAAGGGAGTTTTATGTGGTAAAAGACCATTTGTGTTGAAATATTGAGGAGGGCTTAAGAGAGATGGTGGATCTTGGACCAAATGGAAAACAATGAAGGAGGCATTGTTACCTATGCCAGCAACAGGAAAAGTGTTCGTCTCCAATTTTATCAAAGAGATGGAAATCTGCCAATTGGGTTATAATATAGGTGATATCCAGAAAGAAAGTCCAATTAGAAATGTCCTGTTTTCCAGAAATCTGTGTAGATGAAAGATAAATATAAAACTAAAACCATTCATATTTTTTTTAGCATTTCTCTAATAACGGCCCATCTCTGCAACATGATTAGAAATATAAGAATTGCAAAAAGGATCAGGCTTCAGAGACCTTATAATATTTTGGAAACCAAAAGCTCTTAGTGACTAAAAAAATATATTTCAGCTCTGAGTAAATGTATAAAAATTTTGCATAATATTGCAAGTTATTATTTGTAATAGTGAATTTTAGTTTTTATGATTATGCTCACATTCAATTTTTATCTTACAGGCCAATTTTCAAAAAAAAATGTATGTACATTTATCTAGCTTACCTCCATAAATTTCATTCCTCATGCAGTCCCTATCTCATTTATCTCTAGTATTACACTCCTGTCATCGTTTTTTCTTTCTGTGTAGACTTCATATATCCCACAATAAATATGTGCCGTAATGACAGATACGCCATATAGGATATACTTGGTCCTATTTCTATTTTTAGCTACACCTTTGCCAAATATTTTCAAAAGGTAAAAATAACTGATATTTGAGGAAAAATACAAGAAATATAATATGTTGTAGACACGTATACTGTAGTAGATATATTCCTTAAGAAATATAGATTACAATATCCTGTTTGATGAAACAAAGAGCTTCTTTCAAGTTCTTCTTTTTTTCTTTCCAGTCTAGAACGTTCCTCTCTAATTACTACCGAGATCATAATGTGGAACTATCCAAACTGCTACACAGACTGGGACAGCCTCTGCCATCGTGGCTGAGACAGGAACTGCAGAAAGTGAGATAGCACTGGAGACAAGAACTAAGCCTCTCAAGATACTTTTAGTGTTAAAAAAAAAATAAATCCACCTTTATTCTCAAGCACTTGTGATTGTCAACAAAGAACTGTGTGAATAAATTTCCTTCAGCCTTTTTCATAAAATGAAAACTGTTATATATGCACGCATTGACAATTACTAGCACCAATCCCTGTGTAAGCTTTTGGGAGATTATGTGGGGGTTTGTGGCATTATCCAGTTTCTAGTGTATAGATCATAGCACAGCCCAGTTCCTATGTTAAGCATAAGGTTTCAGATACTCTATGTACGACTGATAATCTGGATTATATACAAGTGAGCAGTTAAAATTTTAAGGAAAAACCAAGTAAATGAGGTTAGTCGTAACTCAATATTTGAATTAAGGGCTAACATTTTCCCCTTGAGAATTTAAAAACAATTTTGCTTTTATTATGAGAGGGAATTATGTAACCCCATACTCTTATTTGTGAGTAATTACTCTTTATTATATCAGCCCACATATTTTCTTTCTGCAATGACTCCTCTTTACTAATTTCTTGACTTGCTAAAGAAGTTGTGAAGTTATAGCTCCCCATGTTTTTTGTTTGTTTTCCTCCTGTAAGAGGGGACTACGTGAAAGCTTCCATATTCACTGATATTATTTTATCTGGCAGCACATGCCTTTCCCAGTGAATTTGTCATTTTGATTCCAGCAAAATCTGTTAAAGTTTTTAGGGAAGAAAAAGAGTATGAAGCTGCATAATACCACTATTAAGTCTAAGGCCATCTTTAAGTCGGTCCCGAATCTTACTATACTAATAATCTAGATATTTCCACCTTGACAACGATATAGTATTTATATATTTTTCACTATCTGAGATAGAAATAAAGCTTTATTGATAAAATATGGAATGAAAACACCAAGGTGTGTTTGCATATATAGTGAGGCAGTGTGCCTTCTACATAGTATATGTTAATCTTTTTAAAGCATGGATTTTTCATATATGCCAGTATGTCTACTATTGTAGAAGATTATGTTTTTAATGCCTATTAAAAAAATAAGTATAATCCAAATCTTACCTCTTCAAACATCACTAATTCTCTAACCTAAACCCAATTTCTCAGCCACGCCACCCAAATGTTAATTTCTGGAGAAGTGGTGTTCTTTCTGTCTTAGAGTTATAGGTTCTTTTCTTATTTAGAGGTTATTGTAAGGCTAGTTGGATTTTTATCTCATTTGTCAATGATGGCATATTAATATTTTGTTAAACTTTTCAGTAATACATGAAGGTAAAATTTCAACAGAACAGTAAATCAAACTGACTTTGGTAACATTACCCAACAACCTATTCTTCCTCCAGAGTAATTTTCCTATTGGCTGTAGAAAATACTACTTTTTCTTGTAATTTGAGAAATTATGCTTGCAATAATATAATAGCAAATCAAAGATCTGTATTTTTCTGTATGTTAGTTTGTTGTTGATTTTTAAGCAAACACATCAAATTTATGTGTCCTAATTGGGGTATTCAGCATCCAACTTTACATTTATACTTCATTAAGATTGTTTGTTTTCCTGTTGTTTCTCAGCAAAAGGATATTGACCTTATTCAAAAAATGTAAGGCTTTTCATGGACATGAGTATAAATCACATATACTTTTGTTGTCCCTTTCTGTTAACTATGAGGCTCAATTATCCATCTTATTGTTGCGTAAGTGAGTGTGTGCTTCACAGCATTTTATTACACACACTAAAATCACAGTAACTGCATGTACAGCTCGAACCTTTGATTTATTCATTAGTTTCCTCCAATTTATATTATAAATCTTTCTTTTTAAAAATAGTGATTAACTTTTTTTCAAGTGGGATAAAAGTAATATTTATAGAACAGAGGGAAACTTTTTTACATCTCAAGTACAATCTATGTAACTCAAGGTTTTCCAACCCATCACCTGGCATTTAAAAGTGTAACTCATTTTATGCCATTTTCATTGTTTTCTAAATAATTTATACAGTATCAGTTAGCTGTCTACAGATATCTGGGAGCAAAATTTTCCCCAAACTCAACTACTCTTTTCAATCTGGTTACTTCAGTCAATGTGAACATATTTCTCATTAAGGTTGATAATGAAGACAACAAAATAAATTTTAATTGTATAATTTATCTTCATCTTACAATAAACTACTAAGAGGAACTCTGGGCTCTGAGATTATAATAAATCAGGAAAAATTTAATATTTAAGAATATCTTGCTTTTTCCAATTTTTACCCACTGGCTATTTTAGAATTATTGACTCAAGATTTTAATACATTTAATTCTTTAAAATGTTAAATAAATTTGATCTCATGGTCTTAAATAATATATGTTTTAGTAGTCATGAAATTTATTTAAGCTATCCATAAATAAAAAAGTGATTACAATGAATTTACAGAAATGGAAAATTTTAGTTCTTAGGCTAAATTCAGGCTGTTTGCTTAAACTTTCTTTTAATTTCTACCAATGAATATGAAGCATCACAAACCGTAGGCAAAGCAATTAAGTAGAGTAGTATATTAATCTCCCAAATAAGGTGTCAAACTAACTTTCAGTGGTATCTATTCAATAGTCAGTATAAATACAGAGACAGTGTCTTGACAAAAGCCACAATAATAACAGCATGGTGGGCCATAAAGCAAAAGAAGTTTCTCAATAAATATTTCTGAAAAGGGATAGATACCTCTTCGCTGTGAAATAACCATACCTTAGAATCCTATACTCTCTCTTCACCACTTTGAATGACGTACTTTCTTTAAAAATTCTAAAGCAAGCTAGTTTCTCTCCTTTCTTTTTTTTTTATAATCCAGTTGCCTAATTCACAGATATAATCATTGATGACCTCACATTTATAAAGGCAAAAACAATATTTGATCATTGTCTTTATCAAAATGTGTATGCTTATCAAGTAACAGTCTCTAAAAATTATATTACAAAACTCGCCCCAAACCAAATTTTGTTTGTATTTAACAATGGCCCAAAGAGAATTAAATAAACAACAAGAAAGAATGCTAGTGAGAAAAATTTATACTCTTTTTATCACATTTTTTTCTAGAAAAATAGCTTTTAGTCCAATACGAGATTTTGTAGCCTTCAATTTTAACAAACCTATCCATTTACCCTGTGTAGTTTTTGTTATTCTGTCTCACTGTTTTAATATAATGTGACACATTTACCATGAGTACTGCTTTATTTTTAATTACAGAAAACACAAAAAATTTATAGGAGGAAAGATATCTTAAAAGCTCAGTTTCTGGTGGCTAGAAAACTTAATTGTTTCCTTGATGGAAGTACCTCAAAAATAATGCTGGCCCATTATTCCAAAAAGAAAAAAAATCTATTAGTCTTGCAAGCAGAATTTTCTTTCAACAATAAGAACACAGCTTAGCTATGGACACACACACACACACACACACACACACACACACACACTCATTATATGTGTATAATGCAAATGTATATGCATATATGTGGTGTCTGAGAAACTTCAACTAGTTTTTTGTCTCCCAAATTATATTTTCTGTGTCAGCCAGTGAGGTGGCTGGGAAAAGCAGGGAGAGAGTTCTGTATTTACTGAAATTGTTAAAAAAAAAAAAAAAAACTGATGTAGTACATGCATAGCATATCATTGGCTCTCACTTCCTCAGAATAAATACTACTGCTGGTATGGTCACTAGAGTCATGTTGTTTCTCCTCTGAAATCCAAGGCTTTAATCAATAGTTGATTCTTTATCTTTTCTTTTATCTTTCTTCACTGTATACATACTCCCTGAATTTTAAACCCTTAACAAGTATAACCACAAGGTTATGAGAACTGAATTCTCATCTCAGTTCTCCCTCTTACTAGCTGCTAGCTGTGTGGCCTCGGACAGTTTGTGGAACTTTTCTAAGCCAGTTAGTAAAAAATAGACAATAGCTACTCATTGGGTTTTCATAGGCATTAATTGAAAATACATTTAAATAACTTAGCACAATGCTGATGCAGTTGTGTGGGAACATGTTAATTACAACAATATGTAAAATTTGAATCATTCTCTCTTCATTTATCGAAAAGAATATGTTTTTTCTACTCCTTTTAAAATAAAACATATAAATCTTAAACATATAATTATATGTGGTCAAAATGGGAAACTGTCTTCCTCATCACTATCAAAAAATAAATTTTGTGCTTTTCCTTGTTATTTTTCTGATAACATTGACAGCAAAGTAGTGCCGTCTCAGTCCATTCTACTGAAGTCTCTTTCCTTTTCCTCCTATCTATTCCTTTGTCAGTCTATTCAGCAGAATATCTCCCTTGTACCTTCTCTTTATATTGCTCTCTTAAATTTCTTTGCAACGTAACACATATTCTATCAAAAATATCAGATCTAGAGCTGCAACTTCCTCAAACCAAAGTCACAAAATTTAATGGCAGCATATGTATCATATGGAGACATATATATAATAAAAGCATATATAATAAAGAATTAGTTCTATAAAATTACAAGAAACTTTTTCAGAATTCTCCACAAGTCTTTATCTCTAATGTCACCTTCTTCTAGAAAGATTTTGCCACAAATAAAAACTATTTATTATATTTAAATGTATTTTCTATTACATTTATTAATATCAAACACTGTTGTTTCCTGCATTTTTTTTTTTTTTTGGAGACAGTCTCACTCTGTCACCCAGGCTGGAGTGCGGTTGTGCCATCTTGGCTGACTACAACCTCTGCCTCCTGGGTTCAAGCGATTCTCGTGCCTCAGCCTCCCGAATAGCTAGGATTATAGGCATCTGCCACCACCCCTGGCTAATTTTTGTACTTTTAGTAGAGACAGGGTTTCACCATGTTAGCCAGGCTGGTCTCAAACTCCTGACCTCAGGTGATCCACCCACCTCAGCCTCCCAAAGTGCTGGGGTTACAGGCATGAGCCACAGCTGCCCAGCCTGTTTTCTGCATTTTTAAAACTGCAAATACACAACATTTTATGCCTGAAATAAGATATTTATATGTTATTAATTTCCATTCAAAAACTTTTATTGTTTTTCTAATGCCTAAAATCTCATATATCACCAAAGCCTGGCACATAGTAGGTAGCCACTAAAGGTTAATTAACTTTTAGTTAATTAATTAACACTCAAGTGTGTTCAGCAGTACTAATTTACTTAACCCTTTTATGTATTTTAATATGTACCACCCACCTTTTCAGTTTGCTCTACATTCTAGCTCTAGAAATTTTATCCATGACTTTAGATGCCAGAAGTAACAACTCCAAAATCTGTATCTTCAGCACCAACCTTCCTCAGGAATTCCAGACCTAGTATCCACCTTACACTGTTCATCTTCAACTAAATATCCGCCTGACATCTCAAATGAGGACATCCAAAATCATCACGCAAGTAAAGTTTCTGCTCCTCTATCTTTTTGTCTTTTTAATGACTATACCCAACCAGACCAACATTTTAGTCCTTTCTAGAAATCTCTCTCTTCCATACACCCAAGTTATGCTGCATCTCTTCCTGAATCCATTTCACTAAACCAGAGTCTCAGAGTACAAATATAACATGAGTCACAAATGGAAGCCATGTATATAATTTTTAGTTTTCCAGTAACCACTTTAGAAGACTATAAAAATGAAAATTATTTTAATATTTTATTCAACAACAACATATGTAAAATATACCAACCTGCAATTATTATAAAGATGTTTACTGAGATATTTATATTATTGTGTTCATAGTCTTCAAAATCCAGTTTGTATTATACTCTTATGGCACATAAAAATTAGGACTTGCCACATTTCAAGCATTTAATAGTCACATGTGGCTAAAAGCTACTAGACAGAACAGCTCTGAGCTCTACTCTCCACGTGTACTTGTTATGAGGTCCTCTTTTCACCCCATTGGTGAGAGAGGGATTCCTACCCTGGGGTTATAAAAAAATGGCTGAACACACAACACTCAACACAAGACAGATGAGATCAACTGTACACACAGCCCAGAGAGGAGGACATCCCATGCCATGCAGCCCCATGGGGCTTGCACTTAGGAACACAGTGAACAATCAGGGGCTATGGGAGGCAGGTTTTGGAGTACCAATAGAGAGGGGTCACTGCTAGCTCCCACAGGAAGATGTGATGGGCTTGTCTGAATTCCTCTGCAGATTGTCAGGGAACCAAAACCCGCTACTCAGGGATGAGCAGAAACTGCAATGAGTCCATTTAATCAGGAGGATTTTTAGCTAGAAAACCTTATCCACTGGAGCAGAGAGGTAAGAGAAACTTGTGGATATGCCATTCAAGGTCCTTCAGATTTTACCAGATATCAAGGCAGCAGATGATATTGAGCCTTAATTTTTGGCCTCATATCACACTTCTCAACACTCTTTCATTCTATCATTATCTCCCTTTGGTACAGCCAGGAGCTTTCACTTCTCTCTAAATCATACACCACACTACTGATGGGATGGTCTACACAGCTTCTAAATTGGACTATACCATTCCTTTCCTTAAAAACCCCTAAATCTTCCTCCAAATAAAATGTTTGAAAACTCCACAACTTATTCTATGAAGTGTTTTATGAGCTAAGGTCTTGTATACCAGACTAGTCTTTTCTTTCTTCTTTTCTTTTCTTTTTTTTTCTTTTTTTTTTTTTTTTTTTTTTGAGACAGAGTTTTGCTCTTGTTGCCCAGGCTGGAGTGCAATGGTGCTATCTGGGCTCACCACAACATCTGCCTCCCAGGCTCAAGTGATTCTCCTGCCTCAGCCTCCCAAGTAGCTGGGATTACAGGCGCCTGCCACCACGCCTGGCTAATATTTTGTATTTTTAGTAGAGACGAGGTTTCACCATGTTGGCCAGGCTGGTAGCAGTGAACTCCTGACCTCAGATGATCCACTTGCCTGGCCGTCCCAAAGTGCTGAGATTACAGGTGTGAGCCACCGCACCCAGCCCAGACTATTCTTTTTATTATTATTATTTTTTATTTTGCAATCTCTTAAAAATTACATTCCAAATTCTAGTAGCAACAAACCATTTGCAATTCTCCAATTACTATAATTTTTACATCTCCAGGCCTTTGTAAGTGACGCTGCCTAGAACACTTATTTGTCCCTTCCTCAATCAATTTCCTGTATGAACTGGAGTTGCTGATTCACTTACATAATTAACACTGGACCTCAAGCAACCTAGCTGTGAAAGTCCACTTCCTTTTCCCCCCTATTCCTTTGTATCTAAAATACAGAAATATCAAGCCTCTAAACTTTACAAGATTTCACATGGATCTCCAGCTTAAAGTAGTTTCAGAAATCTCCCGGTTCCCTTGGCATTAGGCCATCAATATTTGGGTATTAATGATAATATATTTAAACCATAATCCCAGAAGGTGATTTGATATTCTTCCATTATACCATTATTGTTGAACATATATTGTACCGTAGTTTTTTACATGTCTATCTATATGATAAAATGTAAGTTATAAAAAGGAGCACTGTCTTTTCATTTTTGGATCTCTCATGCAGAACGCAGTATCTGGCACAAAATAAGTAAAGTGAGTGTTAAATGATCTTATATTTTTACACTGGTGGGATATTAAATTCAATTTCTAAGCATAAAAAATTACTGTCATTCTCTCATTCACAGGCTCAAAATATACACTTTCAAGGATGTTTGGGTTTAGGAGTATTGACTGTTTTCTGTGAGTCTTTATGTGTGTATATCTGAATCACCTATTCTGGCTTAATAAGATCATGCTCCCACTTTGCCAAACAGACAAATTTAAGCAACTCTAAACACATAAAAATTTAACTACATCAGATATTGCTCTTTTGTATTAATTTAAAGATCTCACAGCATTTTTTTTCCTACAAATATATTTGTTAATAATCAGAGCAAAGCTAAGAGCTATCTACAATGCAATTAGTGTGGTGACAGTGCATGCCTTAGAATTAAAAAGAGTTCAACTTATTGAAGGGAATGAAAGATCACTGTCTTAGCATTTGACTATTGAGGCTCTTGAGTTTTATATATTTTTTTCTACTGACAAAGAGAATAATGCTAATTGTTTAATGATATGTTTAAAATGTCTGTGTAAACCCTGCCAAGAAAAAGGATAGGTGAAATTGTTATGCCAGAAAGCTATGGCACTTTTTCATTTGAATTCAAGTGGAATTAAAATATCCCCACATAATCAGATGTATCTATGTAAACAAGATTATTTCTAGAATATTCTGAATTATTTAAGGCTCCATTCTCATATCCTTAAATTTCATAAGTCTTTTCAGAAATCTTAATAATATGCCAACAATACAACACTAGCAACACAGTAAGGATACACAGCAGAAACGAGAAACCAGGAACCAATGCACAAGAATACAAAAGAATCATGACTGCATTCCTATGACCCCTGATGGCCATTTCCAGATCACATGTGTTGGTGTAGGAGAGAAAAATTACTATGAGTTGTACAATTATCAGCAATGTTTTCAGAAAAGCAGGAAGAAACATCAACTTCTTTTGACCCAGAGCAAGAGGTGGCATCTTGGTACATGAACCAGGACACATATATATCCAAATGAGGGTGTGTCAGGGGAGCAAATCTTACCTTGAATGTATTTTTATTTTTCTCCCATCTTGTTTGCTGATGAGAATAGATCACAAGTCAAAGATAGAGCAGTATGTGGTGGGGAGTGTTGAGGGTGATGGGCTTGTAGTAACCCACTTGGCATTTGAGATGAAAAATGTACAGACTTTGCTTTGTCTGGGTTATCTAAAATAAGCTCTCTTCACTCTACAGAGTGAAGCTGTAGACTTGCTTTTCTCTCTGTACCTCCAGAGAGCAGTCTATACATGAAACTCTCAAGTCCAGATCAATTGTAATTCTCTCTTGCTGCTTCCAGAATGTTGCCTGGAAATCACAGAGTTTTTACACAGAAGTCTTTAACCTGTTAATTAAATTAAGCATATGTAAGCCTGTAATTATGTCTTGAAGAGATTGGTAATGTTCCCTGTAGATGAGACTCTGAGGCCACTTGGATCCCATTTCAGCAGCATGGCAAAGCTAAAAGAAATAAGGCAATAGACTTAGATAACAAAAGTTATAGTGCCTTTGTCACAGGTGATACACATACAAACACAGAATTCTCAACTACCTTCAATCAAAATAAATAATGCAAGGATTTATCAGTTTTTGTGCTAGTCTCTGAAATGAACCAACTCGTATCAAGCCCCTGCGATTTCAACAACAAGGTCCTTCAAATTATTTAAAATGCTTTCAACTGGAAGAAGCAGAGTGCAACATAACACAGTGTATGGACTTCTGAAGCCAGAGTGACAGTTCCAATTCTGACATTACCATTTACTAAATATGTGGTGTGTCTCAGGCACATTGCTTACCCTCACTGTGTTACTATTTCTGTATCTTTACATTGCAAACAATAATAGCACCTATCCCTTGGGGCTATTGTGAGGATTATATGAGTTAAAATACATAAAAGCACCTAGAACAGTAGCTACCACATAGCAACTACTTTAAAAGTGTTCGCTGTAGTTATTTACTTTTTGCATTTCTGTTTATAGACACAAAATACATGTTTTTAAAAATATGTTCCAAATGTGTTGGCTTCATATAAAATTAAATATATATAAGATTAAGTATATTTAAAAATGTAAGATTCTATAACCACAAGATAGTTATAGATAATAACAAGGCAATAACAAGATGATTACCTGTGATATATAAGTATTTTAAAATTTTAATTCTGTCAACTATTTTTACATGGTTGACCAAATTATGGAATTCTGAATCTCATTTTTTCCTGAGTAAACACTGAGAATAAGAGCTTAAAGATAGAGTACCAATAAGTGAACCCAAAGTTTAAGGTGAATTACTGAAGAAATTAAATAGAAAACTGAACTGTTACTAAATTAAAGTTGCCTATAAAGGACGGACCATTGAGAAAACCTGCAATGTAGATCATTATATGGAAAAAGAACAGCATAAATCTGTTTAGGTGCTATTACTGAGGAGTAATGGACAAGAAAAAAGTTTTTTAAAACCAGAGATTTAAAAATATCAACTTATTTTTGAAAGTGGATTTTAAAAAGTATCTTCTGTATACTATAAACTATTAAACTTAACAATATTTACTCATGGGCAAGATTTTAAGATCCTGGAAAAGAGTGTTTGAAATTTCCCAAAAGTATTTTACAGACACTAAAATTCTTCAACTGTTCTTCAACACATATGATTTAACATTAAATTTTAAAGACATTAATGAGAACTTTGTGGAGAAAGAAAAGGATTCTATATTCAAAAAGTACTGCTAAAAATGGAGCTAATTGGCCAGACAACTCTAATCTTTATATATGAACATTTACTATGTTGATTTACTTGGCAAATCTCCATAAGGATGAAATAATGTACAGTACTTCCACCAATAATTTGAATGAGAATTGTTGGCTTATACATCCTTCAGGGGTACAATTTCACGGAGTACAAGTTAGGAACCATTCATTTAAAGAAAGGTACATAGACATCTTGAAGAGAATTCATACCAGCAAACCATGGCCCATGGGCCAGAGCCTCTTTTTATACATACAATTCATGAACTAATAGACTTATATTTTTAAACGAATGTTAAAAATATTCAAAATAAGAAGAATATGAGTCAGAAACTGTGGGTAGGCTGCAAAGCCTAAATACTCACTGTGGGATCTTTTACAAAAAAAGAGATTGGCAACTTTTAATTTAAAGACGCAGTCATTTTATAGTAAACATTATCTAATTTTACATGCTAGAATTCTAGATTAGAAAAATACAATAAATCAGAGGAACTAAATCGTAAGAATTGCTTATGGAGCTGGTCAAGAATCTGGATTCACAGTTCCATCTCCCCTGAAATCTGAGTGAATAAATCGAGATGAGACAGAATGTCCAAATTCTTTATGTGATTCATATGTTGATGGCCTTCAGATATTTCAAACATTTGAAGCCCCAAATATGTAGATGTAAGTAAATCATCTTTCTGGATTTCAGCAGCCATGAGCCAATGTTTCTCTTGATATCTTTATAAATGAGTAAGAGAAATATGAACCACAAACTAATGAAGTTCAGTAAACTGGCAAACAGTTGAAATAGCATACTCAAAGAATATGGTTAATGAATAAATGTTTGTCTAAAAAGAAAATTTGAGTGGCTTACTCTTCAGTTTTGTGCAAGAAAATTTTTATTAAAATATTCAAATAAAGAACCAAATCAAAGGTCCCAATATTGCAGTCTTTGGAGTACACTAGCCAGTAGGTTTTTTAAATTACTGTATTGCTTTTAGGTAGGGCATGTTCTCTCTAGTTCCCTGGGATGTACTGCCTTCTATTTTCCATTTATAACTGTCTAGATGCTGAAGGCATTAGGGTTTATGGGCCCTGATCTGAAATTTATCGTTAAGAAAATTGTATATGGAAAATATTGGAAGATATATAAATCTCAGGCAATGTTATGATCTGGATTCAGCATAAATAATTTGTCTTAGGTTCAAAAACCCAACTAACCAAGTACTATAGTTTTAGTAAAGATTTTTCAAACTAGTATCCTTTATAAAAGATAAATTTTTAAAGCTATAGCCTGACACAATCAAAGTTTATTTTTCACTCACATAAAAATCTAATCAGTAAGGAAGAGGAATGGGCAAGGGAGGAAATTTTGCTCCATGTTGTTATTTAGAAAATCAAGCTGCTCTAGGCTCTGTTGTCCTCAAACGCAAATGTAGCTTTCACTGTCACTCTAGACTTTGACCAGCCTGCAAGACATGGAAAGTGGGAATCAGAAAGTGGGAGTATTTTATGGACCTCAGAATGATTCATGGCACTCTAAAACACACAACATTGACCAGAATTTGATTATAAGGCAGACTTTACTGAAGGGAGGTTGGGAAATGTAGTCTAGCTGTATGCCAAAAGGAAAAGGAAATAGGTTTGATAAATAGCTAGACATTCTCTGTCCTAGTCCACCCTTCTAGTCACCAAATATCCATTACATTCTTCCACACATAGAACACATTCATCCCTTCCTCAAGGAAAACAGCACAAAATCCTGTCTGTCCACTTCATTCAGCTCAACGTAGAAAATCTTTGAGTTATACGTCAGCCTCTTCATCAGGTCCAGGTATGGCTTTTTGTGGGCTAGCAATCCATGGGCAGATCATCTTCTCTCAGGTATACAATGGTGGACCAGGGGCACGATAACCACAGTAGACATTCCCATTTGGAAATTGGAAGACTAGGTAACACACGGTTGTTAATAGACAGTAATTATTATGTGTTTCTGCTGGCAAGGCAGGGGATGCCTGCAGTGGAAACTTGTTTTGTTTATTAGAGCTGGTTTTGCTCTCTGAAAGGAGTTCCCTTGATCATTTGGTGATCTGGAGTTTGGTGATTTAGAGCTGCTAGTGATGACCATCTCTATCCTCTAGGAGCATTTTCCCTTATAATCTGGACTTATGATTTCTTTGCCACTACACTTACCTCAAAAACTTAGTAGGTATCTAATCTAGTTGCCTCCACTAGTTCTGTGGGCCAGTCATCATCTTCCAAACCCTGGTTCTTGTATCTGCTTTTTTCCATCATTTTCTTGCACCAGTCATTCCTTCTCTCTGTGTTACTCCCTCTCTCTGTCTCTGGAGCTCTCTTCCTTCCTCAATTTAATGGCAGCCTTCAGAGGCACCAGGCTTAAATGTAAAAGTAATATTCAATTTTACTCTTTTCAAAAGGCTGAATCTTAATGAGGCCTTTAAACTAAAGTCTTCTCTCAATATTGTATCATTGAGGTTTAGGAGAATTCAGATTTTTCAAACTTTTGAGGCCTCAGATATCTGGAGTATTTATTTCATTTTATATTTGCCTGCAAAATCAACTAATTCTTGGGCGAGCCCATCTCTTTCTTCTAATATCTTCTATTACAAATAAAAAACATCCTATCCTGTAGCTTTCTCCATAGAAATACAATCTTGGAGGCATTTGGTCTGTTTTTCAAGTTATCATAAATGACAATTTCACCAATGTTTTGCCACAAATATCCAATCTCTCATTTCGGTGTTCTCATTAGCAGCCACTCCCACTGCTGGGAAATGTTGCAAATATTAACCTTTGTTTATAACATCCCTTCTTAAGCTACCAATTTTCAAATTAGTTAAGGTGCTACTAGCTGCTGTAATGGATTAATACCAAATTCTTAGCAGTATCATTTTTCAAAAGATCATTTTTTTTTCTTTCACATATACTCCAAATAGTGGAAGAGAGAACCGTTTTCCTCTACACAGAGAATCTGCCTTGAAAATCTTCCTGGATTATCTTGTGTCAATGAGAAAGCCTTATGGAGAGAAAAGAGTGGAGGCTTTCTGAGTGAAAGATTTTTGAAAGGTAAGCTTTGAAGTCATGTTCATCACTTCTGCCCATGTTCCATTGTCTAGAATTCAGTCATTTGGCTACTCTTCACTACAACAGAGGCTGAGAACTGTAGTAGAGCTGTTTGAAAAGAAGAATGGCATACATATTTGATAAACAGCTATCTATCTGCTGCCCCACAGATTGGGGTTGAAAATGAGACCAAGATTTAGTTTAAAGGTAAACTCAACATGAAAAATAGTAGACATCCATAAACGATGATGCAATATCACTGTCCACTAATAACAGTGCATCTAGATCATGAGAAAAAATAACAATAAATCATCATAAAAAAGATTGCTTTATTTTGTACTGAACAGATCACACCTAGGACATAAAAAATTCTTGGGTGAAGTTTACACTATGAAAGAGTAAGGTGTTAAAGAATTATAGCCCAACTTTAGTACTTTTCTGAACTAAGACAACTGGATTACTCATTTCCAGAAAGAACAAGTCCATTTGTCCAGGCTAAAAACTTCAGTCAGCCATGATCTCTTTCTTCCCACAACCTTCGTCTATTGACAAATCCTGTCAGCTTTATCTCCAAGACTACTCAGACTCTAAGAAATTCCTGTCATCTCCAACTCTGCTATGCTAATTCAAGACCCCACCATCTTTTTCAAAATAAACTAATAGCTTTTTCTACTTAAAACTTGAGGTCCTACAGACTAGTTTCCATAACAACCAGAGAAATTCTTTGACCAATTTTCCTATCACTTCCCCCTCAACTGACCATCTTCAGTCAACACCAGCATCCTTAGATTTCTCTGAACATGCTAAGCAGGCTCTATCCCAGAGCCTTCACATTCTCTGTTCTATGCATAAACAAAGTTTCCCTAGATATATGCATCGCTCATCCTCTCTCTTCCTTCAAGTCTTTGTTTAAATATCACCTTGTCAGGCAGGTCTTCCCAGACTCCTGCATCATTATACTTTCATCTACTCTTCTTGCTTAATTCTTCTCCCTACCACTTACCAACAACTGACATATGAGGGTTTTCTTGATTATTTTTATGCTTCCTCTATCTTATCAACTCCATGAGAAAAGGACTCTCTTCTATTCCCTGCTGCTTTTCCTATGCCTGGAGCTCTCTGGCACATTATATTAGGCTCTCAACAGATATTAATAAAAAGATGAATTTAAAAAAAAACAGGATGGTGAAGGATCAGGAAACCGTAACAAATGAGGAGCACATGAAAAAAATTGAACTGTTTTTTAACAAAAGTTTGTGTGTAGACAAGGGAAATGAAGTCATAGCAAGTGAAGAATAGGTTTTGAGAACATATTGATATCAAGAACCTGCTGCATAAAAGAACAGAAGTTATAGAAAGGCAAATTTTCTTTTAATAGGAAATAGAAAAAATATTTAGTGTTTCCTATTAAAATACTTTAATAGGAAAATATTTTCTAGTAAATAGGGTATTGGAATGAGATGCTTGGAGAAGTAACCACATATTTTTAAGTCTTCAAGAATAGACATAATTGGAGTTTTCCAGAAAATCATCAAAAAAGTCTAAAATCCTAGCCTTTTGTTCCTTTCCAGTTCTAAAGAATATGATATTTAGTATAAAATAAAAGACAGAGAGAGAGTATAACCATTGACAGGATATTATAACTAATATTTGATTGGTTGGTTGATTATCCATTTGTCAACCAACAAACCAATTTATTGGTTTTACCTTTATTTTTTAGAAGTATTCATTTATTTATAATTCAGATAGTCATCTTAATCAAACCTATCTGCTAAGTAAGAAGCATGTGGGGAGGAGATTTATATCTACCCCACTAGAAAAGAGGGAGCAATTTCTTGATTTCCAAATCAAGTCTTCTGCCCTAGTTAGAACATACATATATTATATATAGTGTATATATATAATATGTCTATATATATGTATATGAAATACATACACACATATATGCACATTCACACAAAAATGTATGCTTATATATGTGTGTGTGTGTGTGTGTATGTATGTGTGTGTTATAGTGGTACAGATATAGTAATCATGTCTCCAATACAGCAGGCCTGCCACTTTGCCAAACCATTGTAAAGTTTGCGAAACAGAAATTTATCATCACTGGGAATGCAGTCTTGTCTTTTTCAAGCTGTTTCACTTCTAAAAGCAGTAAATAAATGCTTTTATTTTGTGCGTAGCATTTTATTCTTTGCATTATGACACTTATACCACTTATCACCAAATCCTTTCTTTCTGGTTGACTTTATGATTCAACTTCTCCAATAAAACTTTTATAGTGGGAGTCTAATGAATTAGACCCTGCAGAAAGGAAAGTAAATTGGCCTGTTTCAAAGCTTCAAAGCTGCAGCAATAAGTTCTACAGATTTATTGCAGACCTCTTCACTGTTCCAATAAGGGTGCCAATTGTATTGTTTCCAATTTCCCTTTACAACATTTTTTAAAGGCAGAAACTTCTAGGATATATCCCACCAGAATTACAGAAAGCCAGGATTCACAGAGAAACCAAGTAAGAAAAGCTGTATTGGATTCAGCAAGAAACAGCATAGGAAAACGGTGGTCATGTGGGCCATGTTAAAAGACTGCATTTAGGTACTGGTTATAGAAAGCTTGTATCATGATTAAGCCAAGAAAAACACAAGGAAAGTCCCAGAAGTCAGCCTAATTATTCACGACATAGTCAGAGGAGGCCCTGAGGCATGACCAGCCAGAACAAGTGGAGGATTTTTAAGGATTAGGAACCCTGGAGGAGAAGCAGAACCCTGGAGGAGAAGCAGAACCCAGGAAGACAAGAGATGCTCCTCATATCTCAAAGAGCCCGAGGAAAGAAACAGAAGAGGGTTGCAAAATAAGATGCTTTATTTTTCAGTCGTTAAATTTTTTGTTGTTAAATTTTAGAAGGCGGTTATTTTGTTTGTTAATTGTCTTTCTAGGAGGAAACTAAAGAGGACTGGATTGGTGACCTGGAAGCTACTCTCAGTCACACTGATGGTAACCAATTTTCCCAAAGGCTAGAGTTCTGCTGCATAGCTCGGGTTTCAGATTCAGATGAGAAAAAAGAAAGAATCCAAATCATTAAATTCAATGGTAAAACAAGTAAAAAGAGATAGATAAAAGTTTAAACATAGCATTTACATGATTAAACAAATGACATTTATTTTAGTTGGTATTGGTGATAGTTATTTTCCATACGTGATTTAACAAGTAATAATCTATCAATCAATAATTTAATTTAAAAGAATTATATATAAAAATAAAACAAGTAAAAGATACAATTGAAAAGCTACAAAAAATTCTGTTTTCTTCTTTAATGTTTTAAAAACACTTATAAACAAATAAGAAAGTAAATTAGTTTGAGCAATTGTTGTTGAACAATTTTTATGTTTTTTGGCCACTTGTATGTCTTCTTTTGATAAGTGTCTGTTCATATACTTTGCCCATTTTTAATGGGATTATTTGTGGGATTTTTTTCGTTGTTGATCTGTTGAAGTTCTTTATAGATTCTGGATATTAGTCTTTTGTCAGATGCATAATTTGCTAATATATTTTCCCATTCTATAGATTGTCGGTTTACTCTGCCAATAGTTTCTTTTGCTGTGCAGAAGTTCTTTATTTTAATTAAGTCACATTGGTCTATTTTTATTTTTGTTGCATTTGCTTTTGAGGTCTTAGTCATAAGTTATTTGCCTAGGCCAATATCTGGAAGAGATTTTCTTAGGTCTGCTTCTAGAAGTTTTAGGTTTCAGGTCTTACATTTAAAACTGTAATTTATCTTGAGTTAATTATTTATATATGGTAAGAGATAAAGGTCTAGCTTCCTTCTTCTGCATATGGCTAGCCAATTTTTCCAGCACCATTTATTGAATAGGGGGTCCCATCTTCATTATTCACTTTTATTGACTTTGTCTAAGATCAGTTGGTTGTAGATATGTGGCTTTTATTTGGGATTTTTTATTCTGTTCCATTGATCTATGTGTCTATTTTTGTAACAGTACCATGCTGTTTTGGTTACTTTCGACTTGTAATATAATTTGAAGTCAAGTAATGTGATGCCTCTGGCTTTGTTCTTTCTGCTTAGGATTGCTTTGGATATTCAGGCTCTTTTTCAATTCCATATGAATTTTAGAATTGTTTTTTCTAAATCAGAGAAAAATGGTGCTGGTAATTTGATAGGAATTACATTGAATTGTAGAATGCTTTGAACAATATAGTCATTTTAATAATATTGATTCCTCCTATCTATGATCATGGGATTTTTTTTCCATTAGTTTCTATCATCCATGGTTTCTTTCATCAGTTTTTTAGCTCTCCTTGCAGAAATCTTTCACCTGCTTAGTTAAATGTATTCCTATGTTTGTGTGTGTGTGTGTGTGTGTGTGTGTAGTTATTGTAAATGGGATTGAGGTCTTGATTTGTTTCTCAGCTTCTGCCTTGTCAACTTAGAGAAATGCAACAGATTTTTGAACACTAATTTTGCATTCCGAAAATGTACTGCAGTTGTTTATCCAGTCTAGGAATCTTCTCAAGGAATCTTTAGGATTTTCTTGGTATAAGATCATGTCATCTGTAACAGAGTTAATATGATTCTTTCTGTCCCAGTTTGGGTGCTTTTTATTTCCCTTCCCTGATTGTTCTATCTAAGACTTCTAGTATTATGTTGAATAGGAGTAGTGACAGTGGATATGTTTGTCTTTTTTCAGTTCTTATCAGGAACGTTTTCAACTTTTCCCCATTCGGTATCATGTTGGCTGTGGGTTTATCATAGACAGCTCTTATTATTTTTAGGTATATTCCTTCAATGCCTAGTTTGTTGAGGGATTTTATCAGAAAAGGATGCTGGATTTTACTAAATGCTGTTTCTGCTTCTACTGAGATGATCACATGGTTTCTGTTTTAATTTATGTTTATGTGGTGAATCACATTTACTGATTTACGTATGTTGAACCAAACTTGCATCCCTAGAATAAAACCTACTTGATTGTAATAACTTATCTTTTTGCTGTGCTGTTGGATTTGGTTTGCTAGTATTTTGGTGAGTATTTTTGCATCTACATTCATCAGGAATATTGGCCTGTGTTTTTTTGTTATTGTTGTTGTGTCCTTGCCAGATTTGGGTATCAGGATGATACTGGCTTCATAAAATGAATTAGAGAGGAATCCTTCCTCATCAATATTTTGGAATAGTTTCAGAAAGATTGGTACCAGCTCTTTGTATGTCAGGCAGAATTTGGCTGTTAATTCATCTGGTTCTGAGCTTTTTTGGTTAGTAGTTATTTTTATTACTGATTTAATTTCATAACATGTTATTTGTAGAGAATTTCAAGTTTTCTTCTGGTTCAACATTGGAAGATTATATGTTTCAAGGAATTCATTTCCTCTAGGTTTTCTAGTTTGTGTACTTAGAGATCTCCATAGAGGTCTATAGTGATCTTTTGTATTTCTGTGGTGTCAGTTCTAATGCCACCTTTATAAATTCTGATTGTCCTTATTTGAATCTTCTCTTTTTTATTGGTTAATCTAGTAAGCAGTCTATCAATTTTATCCTTTCAAAAAAGCCAACTTTTTGTTTTGTTAATTCTATCTATGATTTTATTAGTTCTAATTTCATTCAGTTCTTTCAATATACATATATCATAATATATACAATAATAATATTTAGTTTCTTTCAATATGCATATTATATATAATAATTTTTTCAATTATATATAATTTAAAACTGTAATATTCAATAATTATTATATATAATAATTATAAAGTATATGTAATTTCAGAAGTGTTTTTTATATATGTTGTTTTATATGTATAAAGCTATAAACTATTTAATCTTTGATATCCTGAATCATTTTTTCTGTTTTTTTGTGTGTGTGTTGGCTTTTAACTTTCTGTTGCATCTCATTGAACTTCTTTGCAATCTATATATTGAATTCTTTATCTGTCATTTAAGAATTTTCATTTTGGTTAGAATCCATTGCTAGAAAGCTGATGCAATCTTTTGGAGGTGTCAAAACACCCTGACTCTTTGTTCTTCCAGAGTTACTGCATTGATTCCTTCTCATCTAAAAAAGCTCTTGCTTAGTATTTTTGAATTTGCTATTGTTTGGATGAGACTTTCGTTTATTTGTTTTTTCCTTGAGCATATGATTGTAGTGTATGTTGTGTACGATTGTTTGGCTTTGTTTCTGGGTATTTTCAGAAGGCCAGGGTTCTGTATGGGTTCCTTAGTTATGGATAGCTTTTGTGCCGTGGCTTTCTTAAATGCCGCTTGTTGTAGCAAAAGATTAGATATATGATCTGACACACTGTTTTCTACAGGGCTGAGAGTGCGAAAGTCTCAGGAAGCTGATCTTGTGCGCCAGCCTATGCTTGAAAGGTTTCTTATTCGGTGGTGCAGTTCAGTCTACCTTCCAGTAGGTGGCGTAAAAGAGTAAGCGCCAGCTTGCCCTGGGGCAGCCCAATAATGCACGGAAGCACCTGCCCTGATGGAGGTTGAGGAGAGATAGCAGGGTGAGATTGTGTTGGGATACACTGAGGTCCCACGGGTTGGGTGAGGAAGAGGCGGTGTGAGGGTGGATGCACCAGGTCCTTGTTCTGGCCAGAGAGGAATGCGATCTTCTTCCCCATCAAACTCCTGTTACAGGGCTTGCGACCTTTGATTAATATTGACATTGTCCTTTGGCTACCAGCTGCAGTGCAACTGAGGTCCCCCGAAATCCTCCTCTGGTGGCTACCCACAAAATGGGCTCAATGCAGAGCCTCTTCCTCCATTCCAGAGCAGACAGCTGTGCGGTTTCTCTGCTCTCCATTGCCCAGACACTGCTGCTCTATATAGGTCGGGGAAATGGGTCCACCCTTCATGCAAGCCCATGCAGCACGGGCTAACTTTCAATGGGGGCGCAGCCGGCACAAAAAGTGCTGAAAAGGCTGTCTCACAAGTAAAAATGCACTCGTGTCAGCCTCCAGCAAGTAAAGTCTCTGTTGTGTCTGCGACAGTGGTTGGGAGGAGTGGGAGAGAACCTCCCCTCAGTATTCATTTCTGGCCATTTGTTACACCCCCTTCAGCTATTGATGCCGTGCCCATGTTTCTTTTGTCCCAAGAGAGGCTTTGGCAGGTTGTGCTACCCACTCCCTTGGAAGCAGCCCGTGTTGAGGCTGCCCAGAGATTCTGCCACTAGATCTCCAGGGATTCTGCCGCTCCCCAGAGACCCACTAATGCCCCATGGTTGCCAAAGTCAGAGCAGGTTCTAGGGTGTGTTTATGGTGTGTCTGATGATGCAGCAAAACAAGGGCTGAGGTTTCCCAGGTAAGGCACTCACCCACAATGGGTGCAGAGTCAGTATAGTGCCCACCATCTCAGTTCAGGCCTGAGGGGAGCGCCAGCACACCTTCAGGAGCTGGCCACTTGGTGCTCTATCCCTGAGAAGTTCCCAAATTGTCACCAAAAGGTTTACCTGGGAACATAAGGGTAGAGGGGCTCCCAAACAATTTGGCAGTCAGTAGATTGTCACAGGGGTGCGGGGAGCACACAGAGAAATACCGCCACCTACCCTTTCCACGGGACTCTGAGTTCCTCAGTGGTCCATCCCTGCTAGACTCTTGCTGCTTTCCTTTTCTGTCCTCCAGCTTCTTTCCATGGGCTGTCCAACAGGTCCTGGACCTCTTCCTTCAGCCTTCCACTCAGATCATGACCATTCACCTGCACTTTGATCTTCTCTCTGAGGAGAACTGGCATCCAATATCCCTAGTCATCCTTATTTAAAAAAAAAAGAAGTGGTATAGTATCTTCTATCACAACGATCATTGTAGAACTCCAGGATTGAACAAGAAATTTGGAGATAGTAAATCATAGGGAAATTTTAACAGGGTATATCAGTAAAATTATGCTAAGTATCACTTTTCCTAGTATTAAGAAACTAAATATGTAACCAAAATCTTATTTATCCTTCACAACCAAATACATAGCAAACATTTTGCTTGTATATCTGTTATATTTTATTGACTGATCCACATATGATTAGAAGCACACATTTAATTTAGGGTATATTTATGTATATTGACACCATTCTGCAGCTGTATGATTATAGAAAATAGCAATTTTATTAAACAAGTTAGTTTTCCTTCATGTTAATAAAATTGTTCCAAGTGCATTATTCTATACATGTATTAGACTTATTTTGTTTTGAAAGGGGATATCTCAAATATCGTCATGTTTTTCACTACTTGGTTCTGCAGAAAGAATGATGGTGCTTTTTTCCTCATTATTACACAATAAACCCCAGTTCACATGGCAGGTAATACTAGTTGTCTAAATTTATTTCCTTTAGGTCCTCAATTGGAACTAATGCCACTTTTTATCAAATACTATATTATACAAACTCATATTCACTTCTACTGAAATATCTACTGTACCAATATCAACCTTTGTTTACCAATCTTTTAATTCACATTGTTAGAATTATTCTCATTTTTGAAAAGTATTAAATATTTTCTTGTTTATTATCCAACAGTATTTTACCATCATTAAGTTAAGTACATGAACGTGTTAATTCTACTGCAAAGGTTTGGTATGGAGCTGCATTATACATAAAATATAATATCATTAAATTATTTAGTCTTCCCATCACAATTATTGTTTTTTATTTGTCTTATTTTATATATAATAACATGTATAAAATAGAGATGTCTTTATATTGTCCCCAAAATTTTTCCATGTATTATTATTTGTAATATATCACATATAGTGCATGAGGAATGTTTTTCCCCCATGTAATATCTAAGGTGTTAGTTTTCATTGTGAGAAAATTATTGTTCCCATTAAAAAGCTATGTAAATCTTTGAATTGTTTTGTGTTTTGGTACTTTATGATTCTTTTTCAAAAATTTTGTTTTGCAGTTGATTTTGTTTAGTATCTTTTGAAAATTAACTTATTTTCAATTGACAAATTAAAAATGTATATAATTGTCATGTACAACATAATGTGTTGAAATATATGAACAGTGTAGAATGGCTCAATAGAGCCAGTTGATATATACATTATCTCACATACTTATTTTTTGTAGTACAAACACTTAAAAATCCTCTCAGCAGTTTTTTAAAATACAATACATTGATAATAACTCCAGTTGCTATTTTATGCAATATATCTCTTCAACTTGTTCTTCTTAACTAAAATTTTGGATCCTTTGACCAACACTCCCAACCCCTGCCCCTGCCACTCTCTACTTCTATGAGGTCAACTCTTTCAGATTCTACATGAAAGTGAGATAATGCAGTATTTGCCTTTCTGTGTCTTCTTTCATTTAACATAATGTATTCTGGATTCATCCATGTTGTTGTAAATAACAGGATTTTCTTCTTTTTTAAAGCTGAAGAGTATTTTATTTTAGAACTGAATAGGAATACTATTCCTTCTTTTTGTTGAATGCTTCTAATTTGGATATTTGTTCTTTTGATGCTGTTCAATAAATTCCATAAACTTCTTTATCATTTTTCACCCTCTTTGTTCTCCTCTGATTGCATGTTTTTTAAATAATCTGTCTCTCAGTTTACAGAATCTTCCTCTTGATCAATTTTGCCATTGATGTTCTTTATTTCATTTTTCATTTCATTAATTGTATTATGTGCATCCATACATTATTTATACTACATTTCATTTATCCATTAACCTGTTGATGGACACTTAGGCTTATTTTATATCTTGGCCTCTGTGAATAAATGCTTCCATGAGCATGAGAGTACAGATATCTCTTTGACACACTGTTTTGTTTTTCTCTTGGATATATATCCAGTAGTGAGACTGCTGGATCATAAGGTAGTTCTATTTTTAATTTTTTGACAAACCTTCAAAACAACAAAATTTAGTGTAGTTTAATTTAAATTTAATCTGACTGGAGACCTTTGACCTTCCATGATTGCACCAAGAAATTTCTGCTGAGAAATCTGATGCTCACCTTATCAGAACTTCCTTATATTTCATTTTCTATTTTTCTCTTGCTCCTTCAGGATCCTTTATTTGTCTTTGGTTTTTGACTGTTTGATTATATTTTGATGTACTGTAATTTGGATTACACTGGAGACCTTTGACCTTCCTGTACCTGGAAATTTATAATTTTCTGCAGACTTGGGAGTTTTCTGCTAGTATTTCATAACATAATTTTTTTTCCTTTATCTCTCCTTCTCCTTCAGCTCCTATAATTTGGATATCTTCTCTTTTGATCCAGTTCCATAAATCTCATAAGGTTCTTTATGCCTTTTCACCGTTTTTTAATCCTCTGACTGTATGTTTTCAAATAATCTGTCTCCAAGTTCACAGAATCTTCTTCCTGGTCAACTTTGCTATTGATGCCCTTTAATTTTTTTTATTTAATTCATTGTACTTTTCAATTTCAGAATTTCTGTTTAATTTTTCTTTAGTAATGTCAATCTCTTTATTTTATTTCTTATTTTGGCAATTTGTCATTTTCCTGATTTAATTGGATTGTTTCTGTGTATTTTCTTGTAGTTTGCTGACCTTCTTTAAAGAATTATTTTGAGTTCTTTGATTTCCTTGAGTTTCTTGGATGAAAATTATTGAAAATCAAAAAATGTTATATTCTCCCCTCATATAGACATAGCTCATTCTTAATTATATCATTAAGACTTGATTGAACATAGTATTTTAAATTAATAAAACATGTTGGGCACAGCAGCTCATGTCTATATTCCAAGCACTTTGGGAGGCCTAAGTAGGAGGATTGCTTGAGGCCAGGAGTTTTAGACCAGCCTGGGCAACATAGTGAAGCCCTATCTCTACCAAAAAAATCTATAAAATTAGCTGAATGTGGTGGTGCATGCCTGTAGTCCAAGGTAGTGTGTAGGCTGAGGTGAAAAGATACCTTCATTCCCAGAGTTCAAGGCTGCAGTGAGCCATGATTACACCATAGCATTCCAGCCTGGGTGTCAGAATGAGACCCTGTCTGTAAAAGAAATAATAAAATAAAAATAAGTTAATAAGACACATTCCATTAAGGTAACTTGAGTTCATATGGATTTGTTTCTTTATATCCTTTGGGAGACATATAAATCTAAAGTGAGCTTTCAGAAATATTCTCATTTAATTATTCAAAATGTTTATTCTTAATGAAACTCAGATTTGTTAAATATCTCTTTGTTATATGTAGCATTGAAATTTAATGATTAGGAAAAAAGCCCTAGAACTTTTACAACGTAAGTGTAAATAAGAAAACATATCTGAGAGGTTTACAGAGTGTGAGTAAATTCATTAAGACCATTTCTGGAGGAGCTTGTGAGGTCACCCTCTATTTTCTACCTACAAAATCTTATAGATAATTTTACACACTAAAAAGCTTACTGCTATTTAGTGTTGTTTTACTACAAATAGTAAAGTGATATGTTTGTAAATAAATACATTTAGTTTTGTTATAGCAATAATAAGATTGCTAGGATACTGCAAACAAATCTTTCAGTGATAGTAATAAGGTTTAGAAATGCTTCTGAATAGTAAGCCTGGACTAAGAGGTACTCTGTGTAGAGAACAATGCCAAAGATAATGTTAAGTTTTCAGTAAAAATTTGCTAAACTAAATTATTTTAAATCAAACTTGATTGAATTGAATTTGGAAAAATATCCTAGTTCAAATCTACATTTTGTAGTATCTTTTTCTCTAACAAGGAGACACTACTATTCATAAGATTAAATATCATGGAGTGAAATGGTTGTTACATCATGAAAAATGAGTTAAAGTCATATTTCATTTCACGAACCATAATTTTAAATAATGAAATATCAAACAATAAAGCATATATGATTATGACTTATTTAATAATATCTAATTGTTTTATGACCATTGCCATAATAGCCTAATAATTTCTTTTGTAAATCTATTCTTATATTGATCTGCTATCCAAAATATAAAAAATGAGCAATATAAAATTAATTGGTCTACTCTTACGATATATCATTATGCTTGACTAACCAGGAAAATAAATGTAAATGATGAAATTATCCATATAATCTTTCAAAACATCTTTCTGGACTTGGGTCAAAACCATAGGAATGAAAACTGTAAAGCTGACCTACATGAGCCAATCAGTATCCATCTGATTGTTCCCTCATCATTAATTTAAATATGCAATATGATGCCAAATATTCTAAATTATCTCCCTTTTTAATCAACTGAAATATTTCTTGTACATCAGACTCTCACCAAGTTAAAGCCACAAGTGTTTAAACTTGGCTGAAGACTTTCAGGCCAACTGACACTTCAGCTGTAACTTTACATACACTACTGTTATTCATTAACTTAAAAAGTATTTATAGAGTTATTAAAATATTACAAGATTAATGAAAAATATACAGCTTCTGTCAAGTTGTTTAAAGTAAAGGAAAAGACAAACAACTGTCAATTTCAATGTAGAATGTTGAAATTCTCATAAAACTATGCACAAGTTTTTCTGGGAGAAATAAGAAGTGACTTGACTCAGATAGTAGGACAGGAAATGGGGCAGAAATTAGAGAGGGCAGGAATAAAGAAGATATACAAGTAAAATTCAATTTAATTGAATGGTTATTTTATAAGTTTAGCTAAGTTTCTTTTCAACTGACATGTGTATGTATATACACAAAAAGAGAAGATTAAATGGTTTATCAATATTATTTTGGTCTAAAATTGTTCTAATCTGATATAGTAAGTGATCAGTCAAAAACAAATTATTTTTCAGACTACAGTAATGCAAAAAAAAAGCATGCTTTAGCATTATAATACCTTTAAAATGTTTTACTACATCTTCAAGGATTGGTACAATTTGTGGATTCTAGTCTACAGTCCCCCACCATTCTGATGTCTACCATATAGAAATGTGATCCATCTAATAGAGTGGAGCTGTCACAGTCAATAATCTGGTTTTATACAACTAAACTTGGGAAATTGAGCATTCTCTGCAATTCTTAGTTGTACAAGTATCAAATGCTTTAGACTTGGAAACCACAATGCTTAATATTTTAAGCCATCAAACTTAACCAGACATAGCATTCTTTTATTAATATTAATACAATAGTACACACAAAGGGCCACATGGTAGTTAGTCACAAGAAAAAAAATACTATATCTTAATTTTTGTTTCTAAGAAATACCAAATTATTAGAATTAAAACTTCATTGCAAGTTTTCTCAAAATGCAGGTTTTATATGTATAAAGACCTTTAACCAAAGTTTTCAAGACAGCTTCATATTTTGCTATCACTATAGCAGCAGCGATGATACTTTTAATTAAGTGAACACCAAATAAGAAACCTTAGAAATAAGGTGAAATTGCAATTTTAACTCATTATGGATATAAATAAAAACAGAAATCAGAGTCACTAGTAGCACAGAAATTATGCGAAACCTTAGCGGGGGTGCTTGCATGTTAATCTAATGTACTGTATCTTCTGACTATTTAAAAAAAACAATTTAAAGTGACAGTAAACAAATAAGTTACCTTGAAGAGGCATTAAGGAACATGAACACAATGTCATAGAGAGTATTTGGAAAAATGCCCTCTTTAATGGTCATCTACAGCTCATTGAATGTGGTTTTTCTCTACATTAAGGGCACTTCTGAAATGTAGTTTTACAATTGATTCACTTAAGTAATGGTAAGTGCATTTTAGATTGATAAATTTGTAATATGTCTAGACAATAAAAATCTGCAATTTTTACAAACTCGATTGCCTTTCAGATGCTTATATGTTCAGAGATGAGATTATTTTTTACGCTTCATTGTTGCATCTAAAGAATAAAACACATATCCAAAGGGGAGATTAAAATGCGTTCATATTTACTGAGTTCCAGGTGTGTAATTGAAAGGAACACACTAAACTGATAAAAACTTAAGCCTCCAGATAAAAAATGCTAAAAAATAAAAATTTATTACATTTTGAGGTATATTCATAAACTAAGCATGCATCATTTAAAATGTTTCAGTCACTATAAATATGTTATACACACCTGTAAATTGATTGAGAAGAATTCAATTATGTAGTCTAAACACTGAGTTGGATAAATTAGTGATAGCAATGTGTTCCCTATTTAGCTGATTTGGTGAAAAAATAAACATATGGTTTGGTATAGTAAACTTTGCATTTGAAAACTGAAAATGTTACTGAAGTTTTCAAAATTTTCTTGAATATGAATTAAAGTCTTTCTGTTGTGGTAGGAGATTAGATTTTTTTAAAAAAAACACAAATGTCTAGAATATTTGATAAAGGGCTAAGGATTTAAAATACCAATGCTTCCTTACTACCAACTACGTATTTTTTGTAGATCTCATATATTATTTTAGTATACTTATTTTGAAGTAACTCAGTAGAGAATTAGCAAACTTTGGTGTAGCATATACACAATGTAACAAATGTTAGACTGCTATTTTAAATATGTAATATTGCTAAACATCTTAATAATAATGCATTAGACCAAGGAAGTAAAGAATACTCCTCCACATCAGTATTTAAACTGATCAGAATAACAAAATGTAAACAGCAAGAGCAATGAATGACAAATGTAATACTATCTTACAATGCCTCTTTTTATAATAGAGTATCTAAGGAAGCCATTAAATTAAAACAAAGTGTATTTTATAATTGCTTCCATCAAACAGACAATTGAAAACAGAATTGTATAATGTATATTCATTTTACATTGCATTAATTTCCTATTTTTAGGAAATTCACAAGGCTCCAGAATTACTCCATACACTTCTCACTCACTTAAATGAATAGCTATATAAATTTTGTATCTATATTGGAGACAGGATCTCATTATGTTGCCCAGACTGGAGTGCAATGGTTATCCACAGGTGCAATCCCACTAGGGATCAGCACAGGACTTCTGACCTGGTTCATTTCTGACAGGGGCCAGTTCACCCCTTGTTAGGCAACTTGGTGGTCCCCCACTTCCCAGGAGGTCACCGGATTGATGCAGAACTCAGTGCAGATACCTGATACCCACAATGCACTACAGCCCAGAACTCCTGGGCTCAAGTGATCCTCATGGCTCAGCCTTCTGAGTAGCTTGGAATGCAAGTGCATGCCCTGCGCCTGGCTATATAAATAATATTTTATGTAATATGATAACATTACATATAATATGGTTTGAATATTTATCTCTGCTCAAGTCTCATGTTGAATTGCAATCCCCAGTGCTGGAGGTGGGTCCTGGTGGGAGGTGTCTGGATCATGGGGGTGGATCCCTCACATCTTGGTGCTGTCTTGGTGCAATAGTGAGTGAGGTCTTGCAAGATTGGTCATTTAATTCATGTTTTCACCATGTGACATGCCTACTCCTTCTTTGCCTTCCGCCTTGATTCTAAGCTTCCTGAGACCTCCCTAAAAGCCAAGCAGATGCCAGCACCATGTTTCCTGTAAAGCTTTCAGAACCATGAGCCAATTAAAGCTCTATTTTTAATAAATTACCCAGTCTCAACTGTGTCTTTATAGCAATTCCAGAACAGCCTAATACAACATATAACTTCAAATGGTGTTGTGGGGGCTTGTTAGAGTTGATCCTGCTTCCAGGCTTTTTCTCTCCTTTTGGCTAGCAACAAAAGTCTCTACCATACTACTTTGAAACAGTTCATTTCCTTCTCTTAATTAAAAATAGCAAAAATAATTATAGATGCATATATATGCACATATATGTATATAGACGGACAGTACATATGTCTATGTATGTATATCTGCATATGTATATATGTCTATATGTGTGTGCATATATACAGACAATAGGTAGGTAATTAATAGATAGATAATACATAGACAAATAGATCTCCTCATTATGGAAGTCAGAATCCAGCCTAATCTAGTATTACAGTGGATCTATTACCCTCATTTCCTCTTCCCCTCCTCATAGAACCAGCCAGTGTACACCCTAGCTCAGGCCCACATCAGTCACCTAGAAAAAGAGAAAGGTAGGCATGAAAATAATCTCCCAAATAATTCAACTTGGATTTAGAGACTGGACTGATTCCTCAATCAAAAAATTGGCAAAGGACAAAAATACACATACCACAGAAGATAAATCATAAATAGCTAATAACCATGGGAAAAGATGCCCAATCTCATGCATTATCTCACCCTATACTCAAACCCATGGCACAAGTACTATTATTATGTCCTTTTAATGGATGGGAATATACATAGGTTATCAAGAGGATATATATATTTTATCAAGGTCACATAGGGAATAAGTTACAGAGTTGAGACTGAAATCCAGGTAGTGCACTGTAGGAAGCCTGATTCACTTGATAATAGAGTAAATAAAAATACAACATTTTAAATATACACAAATTTCTTTTTATTTAACAAATTCAGAAAGCTAGGGATATATGCATAGTAAGTAGGATCCAAAGAAAGAAAATGACTAAAACAAGGTGACCTTCAGCCTGAGTCAGACAGACCTGTACATTTTAGAGGATAATATTTCTTCATATATCTACGGCTCATTTTTTTTTATAGGATTGCTAACACTCACCCAAGCAGTAGCTTTCAAACTTTAAGAAGACAAGAAAGGTTTTAGTCTCATTCACAAAGAGATTTCCATCATGGAGTACAGTTAGTGACTTACACGGAATGTTCCCAGAAAGAGTTGTTGAATGAGTGAAGGCATGCATGCATTAAAGAAGAGCACATCAATCAAGAGCCAGTGGAATGAATTGGTCAGTAACATACTAATCATATGGCTATTTGTCCAGATGATGATTAGCACATGTGCTCCAGGATATCATTTCTTTCCAACTACTGTTTTAAAGGAAACGTATCCCATCTTTTCTCTCTTCATCAATTACAAAGGAATTCCTTTACTACCTATAGCAGCTTTATAATTTTTTTCTGACTTTTTTTCTAGCTTTAATGCCTGTTTTTAAATTTCCTCTCTGAGTCTATTTTTCACCAAAAGTATAGAATGTTTTCTCTCCTTTTGCTCGTCATCTTCATCTCTTTCTGTGCAGTGTCTGTGGCTTCAACTCTGAGACTAAGCTTTCCAAGTCAGCAAGATCAAGGAAAATGATGCAGTGAGGATCAAGAGAGACTCTGCTCCCAATAACAGAGGTGTTCTGTTTTTAACTGGGCTTTTTTTCTTCCCCTGGTTTCTACTTCAAAACAAATAGAAATTTTTGTCCCTAAATCATTCTCAACAAACGGTATCTAAGCTTTTCTAAAGTTTACAATGGAATGCAATTCTAGAAGTTTAGGTAGGTAGATTTCTTTAATAATTATATTAACATAGATACCTCAAGAAATAATAATTTAAGAAGACATAGCTATTATCTGTGTAACATCCTTGGAAGTTATCACAGGTGATAATCTCTCAACTTGCAAGTCACACGGAGAATGCCACAGACATCTTAATAGTCCCCTCCCAATTCTAATAATTTTGAATTGTGGCCATAAATAACTCTTAATACAGTCTAATAATGCCATAAACTGGATTTATTTGTCCTTTAATTGGTGTTCACTTACTATTTTCTGAGAGTCTGCTGAGTGCCAGGTATGTAAGCTGTCCTTGGTACCTATCTTTCATTTGAAGTGATATTTACAGGGAGTTAAATAAACCCAAGACAAAGTGATTCCTACCCTATTTCTTGGTGCTCTTTCCAAACTGTCACTTACTTTTGTCTAGGCGATATTTCTTTGGATCTTATTGTCAACTCTTTTCTATTTTCTTTCATTTTCATGGCTCTCATCTCTCAGAATGAAGGAGATCTAAAGTCAGTGGAAATAAGAGAGAATGAAAGGATATAGATATGTGAAGAAACACAAACTTTAAGGTTTGTGAATGCATAAGCAGAAAATGAATGCATAAGCAGAAAACAGTAAGCTAACAGGTAAAAAATTAAACAAACATGTTTACATTACCAATAAAACATTTTATGAACTTGATGTTATTCAGGGAAATGCCTAATTTTTAAAAATCATCATTCTAGAATGCATTTTGCCAGATAAATCGTAATAGTTGTATCATATTGCCATTTTTCAAAATAATAGTACATTCAGAGACCAAAATCTCAACTGAAATCAAATTCCCATTATCCTCAGAACTTGTATCTCCACCATTTCCTGGGAATTGCCTTTGGCTAGGCAGGATTTCTTGACAGTGTAGACACACTCCCTGGCCAGTGTTATTCACCTTATGGTTTTGCCTTTCTGGCAATTTTCTTGGAGAGGTAGCTTTCCAGTTTATCTTAGAAAATACTTTTTCCACCACTGTCTTAAACTCAACAATCTACTTGTAATGAAACAGAAAATACCTTTTCTTGTTTCTTTTTTTTTTCTAATTTATTTTTTGTAGAGGTGCGGGTCTCACTATATTGTCCAGGCTCATGTCGAAGTCCTGGGCTCAAGCTATCAACCCACCTCAGCCTTCCAAAGTGCTAGGATTACAGGCCTGAGCCACTGCACTGCACTGGCCTCCTTTTCTTGTTTCTTAATCTTGCAATGAATCCGTTGTATTGCAATTTCAGCTTATAATAGGTAAACTAGCCATTCCATTGAAATATCTCACAAATGCAAAAAACTGTCATCCTCTATACATTTTTAAACTCATAAGTTTTGTTGGGAAGCCCTTAGCCCACCTGGTAACTTTGAGGTGGGCACTGTGAGAGGCCACCCAGATCCTCCTTCAGTGAAAAACTTGCCTCAGCTCCTATGACCTCCGTCAGCTTGGGTCTCTGTCACAGCTTGACTTCTCTCTCTCTGCTTGCTCCTGCTTCATCTCCTCCCTTCCACAAGCATTAATTTTAAGAGTATAAACAAGCATTTTGCAGGCCAAGTTCTATGTCAAAATCTCTTCTTTGGGGCACTCAAGGAACATTCACCCTTCAAAATGTATTTTTCATTCATGGGCACTGAGGTTTGTTGGGAAGAAGTATGGTCCTGGAGTCAAATTGAATGACTTTTTACCTCATTCATACCTGCTGAAATTACTTAAACATTATAAACTTCAGTTTTGTCATCAGTAAAATGGGAATCATAATATCAATGCACAAGATTTTTTTGTGGGGGTTAAATAAGGCACCTATATAAGAGTCATAGTACATATCAATAAAAAAATGAGCACTCTATAAATATTACTTCTGTTACCTACCCTTTTCCTCCACTACTCAATACTTGATTTATATTATGTGTATATGTGATAATGATGCCATTAAATTTTTGTTTTCTTTCTGCAAAGCTTTGCATTTAGTTTTCTGAAAAATGGGTTAGGTCAAAAAAAAAAAAAACCTCAGCCCAGTTATAGTTCCAGGTGATTCATTAATTGCAGCACCACTCAGCTTTTTCAGATAACATGTTATGTGACTGTGACCCAGTTTACAATAATGTTGGTAGCTTTACTTTCTTGCTTCTATATTAGAAAGTAGATGCCATGTTTTATTAGTCACACAGCTGTTAAGTTCCAGCTGCCTGTGGAAAAATAAAAGTAAGTAATGCTGCCCTTCATTAAGTTGTAGGGCCAATATTACAATATCTTCTGAATGTCATATATTAGATCCTAGTTAAGATCATCAAAACAATGGAGCATGAATAGCTCATTGTTGTAAAGTTACATTAAGGGTAATATCAATAGAAACACATTACAAACTGCTTTCCTGAAAATAGAATAAATACATAATATTAACTTATTTCCAACATTGATTTCAAAGTCTTAGAAGACCCCAAAATAGTAATATTTCAAGATGTTATCTTTTAAAATTATGTGCATATCATTGTCAAAAGTCTACTAAAAATTTATTATTCCATACGTCCCATTTGTTCCATCCATAATTTGTAGCTAGTTATTTTTAAGAATGTCTTTGTTATTATGGTAGTGATCTTGATAATCTATATTTTATATTAAAAGTCCCAAAGCTTTCATCATGACTATCAAATTAATTTTGGAGATATCTCCCTGAATTGATCATGTATTTAGAAATGGAAAATTCTATTGTGAACAATATTTAGAAAGCATTGGTGAGGTACTTGTTAAAGTGATATACATATTCCATTACAGAGTTAGCCTTCATTTAACAGTACTAACATTAACATCAATCACTTCATAGTTTAAATAATAAACCTACTCTAGAGAGCAGCGATGCCACGTTTCTCTTCCAGCTTGGCAGGAAGGCTAAATGAGTTTCAAATACTGACTCTTTACAAGCATGAGGCCTGGTTTAAGACCCTAAACTCTTAGGGTCCCAAATTCTCCATTTATATAATGAATGTTATCATGAAATATGAAAAGATAGGTAAAGCACCTGCACAAGTTCGGGTCCCAGTAAATTTAGATACTCCCTCCTCCTATTTCTAGGTTCTTTGTGCAATTAACTGTGAACAAACCAGAGGTAAATGTTGTTTGGAAAGGTTTAGTAATAGGACCTAAAGACCCTAGGGCTTGGATTGGAGCCCTAAAAGTGAAACTTTTTTTGAACCCACATGCAGTAAAATATAAACACACTTACTAGAAATAAACACACTGACTGAACTGTTACCTTAGACTTTAAATGTATTTATAATATTTTATTTCATTAAAATATATTAATCACTATAGCAAATAGTAATTTTTAATAGATTGCAGGTTTGAAATATTTAAGAATGGGAGATTGAATTTTCTTTAAAAATTATGTTAAATGTTATATACATTGTGGGCTGGGAAAAGTCATATTATAGAGCCATCTGGAAAATAATTCTTTTTTTCAATAATAATGTAGATTCTGTCTCTGAAAATGACTTGTGTGTTGTCAGTGTTTATATTTCTCTCTCTCTTTATTTCTTTCCTTTCTTTTTCTTTCTTTCTTTCTTTTTTGACTGGAGTCTTGCTCTGTCTCTCATGCTGGAGTGCAGTGGTGCGATCTCGGCTCACTGCCACCTCTGCCTCCCGAGTTCAAGTGATTCTCCTGCCTCAGCCTCTTGAGTAGCTGGGACTACAGGCACTCACCACCACACCTGGCTAATTTGTGTATTTTTAGTAGAGGCGGGATTTCACCATATTGGCCAGGCTGGTCTCAAACTTCTGACCTGAAATGATCCACCCACCTTGGCCTCCCAAAGTGCTGGGATTACAGGTGTGAGCCACAGCGCGCCTGGCCTCTTTGTTTTTTTTTTGTTTTTGTTTTTCAGGTAAAGGGTCTCCCTACATTGCCAGGGCTGGTCTCGAATTCCTTGCCTCAAGCAATTCTCCCACCTTAGTCTCTCAAAGTGCTGGGATTACAGGCATGAACCACCACATCCAGCCAGTGTTTATAGTTTTGTGAGTATCTTTACTTTCCAAAATTTAACAAGGGACAAAAACCAGGGGTCGGAGGGAAATTAAGGTTTTAAAGAGGTGAAGGCTTGAAATGACTAAAGCCATTTTTCACTGTTCTGCTGAAGTCTGCCCACCCCTGGTGTTGGTTCTAGCCAGAACAATTCGAACTTTTCTGAAAATCGACTATGGATTATTTAATCATGGGTTTCCCTAGTAAAAGGATAAAAGAGTGGAGGGTGAAGGGCTAATTACAGGATGAAATGTAGACTCAGACAGACAAGGCTAGGAACAATAATGTGCTCATTAAGGAAATCTTGCAGAGATATAAATTATATTTCTCCTCTCTGGTCTGAAAACAGACATATTTAACATCTAGTGTGATTATTTTCCTTGTAATATATTTATTTCAGATTATCCTCAAGTCTTTCAAGTCAGATACACATAAATGCTGTGAGTTAATGGAATTTAGAAAGCATTGTAGTGCAGAATCCTAGAACTGCCTGTGGGTTTAGTATTGCACTAGGCTGTAAAAGAGTTAAGTCCTGGGGTTCTCTTGTTTAAGGGAAAATAATGGGCATCTAAGGTTTGACTGAGAATAGCAGATGGAAGTCAGTAAGAACTAAGAGTGGATTATAACAAAAGCTGACTTAGTAGTGGATGGCCACTTTATGCAGAACTACTTCTGCCATTTTATGCAGAACTGCTAGGAGATGAAGCTTAAGGGGAAAGGGATAGCAAAGACAGAACTTCAGGTTTCTCATCTGTTTCTGTCAGGCCTTTGAAACAGTGCAACTTCATCTTGAATAGGAGCTCGGTAAAATAAGGCTGAGACCTACTGGGCTGCATTCCCAGAAGGTTAGGAATTCTTAGTCACAGGATGAAATAGGAGGTCAGTACAAGATACTGGTCACAAAGACCTTACTGATAAAACAGGATACAGTAAAGAAGCCAGCCAAAACCCACTGAAACCAAGATGGAGATAAAAGTGACCTTGGTCACCCTCATTGCTCATTATACACTAACTATAATGCATCAACATGCTAAAAGACACTCCCACCATGACAGCTTACAAATGTCATGGCAACATCCGGAAGTTACTCTGTATGGTCTAAAGTGCGGAGGAGCCCTCAGTTCCAGAGCTCCTCCCCGCCCTTTTTTTTTTTTTTTTTTGCCCGCCTTTTTTCCAGAACACTCATGAATTATCCACCCGTCTTTAGTATATAATCAAGAAATAACTGTAAGTATACTAAGTGCAGCAGCCCATACCACTACTCTGCCTATGGAGTAACCATTCTTATTTCCTTTACTTTTCTAATGAACTTGTTTTCCCTTTAGTCTATGGACTCATCCCTAATTCTTTCTTGCGTGAGGTCCAAGAACCTTCTCTTGGGGTCTGGATTGGGATCCCTTTCCAGTAAGATTTCTACAGTCTTTCACGGTGTTTGTGTGGAGTCTTAAGGGTTTTGAGGAGGTGTCTGCATGACTTGGGGGTAAATGGTTTGGAGAATGGCTAAGAAAATTGAGCTGCAAATTCTCTACATCTTCTTCACCAAAGCATTCTATATGGACTTTATTTAAGAATTTATTTGTTAAAAGATTTCTGTGATACAAAAAGGAGTAAATTCAGATTTTTTTTTTTTTTTGAGGCGGAGTCTCGCTCTGTTGCCCAGGCTGGAGTGCAGTGGCATGATCTCCGCTCACTGCAAGCTCCGTCTCCTGGGTTCACGCCATTCTCCTGCCTCAGCCTCCCGAGTAGCTGGAACTACAGGCGCCTGCCACCACGCCCGGCTAATTTTTTGTATTTTTAGTAGAGATGGGGTTTCACTGTGTTAGCCAGGATGGTCTTGATCTCCTGACCTCGTGATCCACCCCCCTCAGCCTCCCAAAGTGCTGGGATTACAGGCGTGAGCCACCGCACCCGGCCAGATTTTTTTTAGTAAGTGAGAATGTTTAAATAATATTGGTGAAAAATAAATAAAATTCAGTTTGTGCAATGGCAAGATATGAAGGTAAAATAGTCAAGGTGTTTGTCATGGTAGACTAACTGACTTTTAAAAGATTTCTACAATATGATGGAATAGTTTCTTTTTTTTAACTTTAAATTTTTTGTCTTTATGGGATTAAGATAATTCCTTAATGCTTATAAGCAGAGGTTTTAAAGGAATAAAAGGAAAAAAGTAGTTTTGTGTTGTACAGAATTTAAATGTCTTTGAACATTAATTCCACATCAAAGAATTCATTAAGAGAGAGGTCATTTGTGTCCTTTCAAATACCTGCTTAGCAAGTAGTTAATAATAGGTCAATTGGTCAAAAGCAGAAGGAGGAGAAGTGAGTGCTCTGGTCTTCTCCACTGCTTTTTGTTGAATGCCTGATCTTTTTATTACCACCAATCTAAAATGTAATGTGTTCATCTTTCCTTGTTGACTGTCCAAGTATACTAGAGATCACTTTTGGAAAGGCTTTTATATGCTGGAACTTATTATGTTACTAATTACAAATATATGCATATTTATGTCATCTGCAACCCATTTCTTTTGGATCCCTACTTGCTTCTCTGATATAAGATATGTGCAGTGTGGAGCAAGATAAATTAACTGAGAGCATGACTTTATTTCTCCTCCTCACTCTGTTCTAATTGTATCTATCCATAAGCCTGATTAAGATTGTGTTTCTTCACTTGTAAAATAAGAAAGTTTATTCTACAGAATACTATTTTCTTCAAATATTAATAGGCTTTAAGAAAAATGTTAAGCAACATAAAACAGTGATATTTATGGTGTGACTTCTTGGGACTTTTACTGTGCAAATGTTCATCGTAAATCTAAAATGAGGCTTTGGTATGCAATGGTTCCCAGCTTTATTTCATGATGAGATCCTGTGTTATCAGAGCATCTTATAGAAATAGGGTTAAATGCAACAGATTTGTGGAATGTAGGTCTTGACATTTCTCTGATTATACCAAGCCTCCATCTTACAACTTTCCGAATATAAGACAAGCAAAGGTATAAATGTCCATTAATAACAAAGTCAGTATTGACAAGTTTTTGCACACATAATTAATCATTATATCTAATCTAAGAAGGCTACGAAACTTAAAAACATCATCGATGAGGGTAATAGAACAAACAAACAAAGCTCTCATGAATGGCTGACCTTATATGAAAGTAAATGAAATTATTCTAAAGCTAAAACAATGCAGAACTGCGAATTTAGAGAGGTGATTTAGTAATGGAGCCAGTTTCTGCCGTAACAACTTTGCCTAAGTTTTAAGAAACCACAGAATCTAAAGATTCAAATTATTATTATTATTATTCAAATTATTATTATTCAAAAGCAGAAACAGGGTGATGCCTTCTATGAGTAAGTCTGAAAAAAATCTATCCAGGGGAAAATGTGAAAATACTTATTATCTTCACGTTATAATTCCAAACTACAAGCTCATATGAGTTTGTCACTAGAATTCATACTACATCTAAGCTCCAAAATCCCAAGAAAAAAATTAAACTCATTAGTCCTTAGTTAAGATTCCCTTGTGTAGCCTGAAAAAGCACAAATAAAATCATCTCTGAAAGAAGACACTTTAAGTTCACCACCAGAGACAAGACTCTGATTGCTTGCTGGCTGGCTGGAGATAGTGTGTCCCTGACATCATGGAGGTCACACTCTAGTGCCCCCCCAGTACACTTGCCAACATCCACCAGAAGTATATAAAAGAAAGGACACACATATGCTATGGTGAGCAGTTATGTGTTGGAATGAATGAATGGAATCCATGTTAACAAATTGAAGAAAAATAAACATGATTATATTAATATAGCCAGAAAAAAAGCACTTGATGAAAGTCAGCCTCCATTTATGACAAAATTTCTTATACTAAGCATAGAGTGATAAATCCTTATCACAGATAAACATACATCAGTGTGATGACATACTCTTTTGAATCTATATTTGAAATACTTCATGACTAAAATTTTTAGATATTAGTGTTCTATTTGATTGTAATTCATAGTCATATCTGGTAATCTTTGCTCTAAATGGCTCATTTTGTAAGTAGTAAATGCAAATATATTGAGTAAAAATAACCTAAAAATTAATTTTGTGCAAATTCCAGGATGTTTAAAAATGGCCTATATTAAAGCATAACATTTATCACTTTCAATTATAGATAACTTTAGAATGTAATTTGAATAATGCACATAGGTATAAGTTCTTATAGTTTTTATTTGAGTGTTTTTAGTTCATTTTTTAATAACAGCTTTATTGAGGTTAGTCACATCCCATAAAATTCATTTTTTAAAGTTCTCAGTTCAGTGTTTTTTAGTATATTCACAGAGATGTACAACCATCTTCACACTCTAAATTTAGAACATTTCCATAACCCCAGTAAGAAGCTCTGTACCCAATACCATTCACTTCTCATTCCCCCGCCCCCCAGCTCCTGAAAACCATTAACCTACTTTCTGTCTTTATGGATTTGCCTCTTCCAAATGTATCATATAAAAGTAATCATTTAATATGTGACCTTTGTGTCTGGCTCCTTTCACTGAGCATAATACTTTCAAGGGTTATCCATACTGTAGTGAGTTTCAATACTTCATTTTTTTAAATGCTGAATAATATTCAATTATATAAATATGCCACATTCTTTATCCATTCATCTGTTGATGATTATTTGGGTGGTTTTCACTTTTTAGGTGTTTTAAATAATGTTCGTATAAATACTTGTGTACAAACTTTGGTGTGAATGTATGTTTTCAGATTTCTTGAGTGTATACCTAGAAGTGCAATTGCCAGTTCTTATTTACATTTTGAGAAACTGCCAGACTGTTTGCCTAAGTGGCTGCACCATTTTACAGTTCCACCAGCAGTGTATCAGTGGTCCATTTTCTCCACATCCTCACCAACACTAGTTATTGTCTGTCTTTTTTATCTTGGTTGTCTTTGAGTATGAGGGAGTATCTCATTGTGCTTTTTTATTTTTTTCTAATCACTCATGGCATTGAGCATGTTTTCATTTGCTTATTGGACTATTATAAATCTCCCCTGGATAAATATTTATTCAAATCCTTTACCCATTTTATGTAGTTCTTATTTTAAAATCAGGAGATACCTGTGCATGTGTATTTAAAAGATATATTGCATGATGCTGAGGTTTGGGGTATGACTGAACCATCAGCCAGGTGATAAACACAGTTCTCAACAGGTTGTTTGTCAGCACTTGCCCGTCTTCCTGTCTTCCTCCTCTACTAGTCCCCAGTTTCTATTCTTCCTATCTTTATGTCCGTAAACCTGATGTTTAGCTCCCACTTATAAGTGAGAACTTGTGGTATTTGATTTTCTGTTTCTACAATAGTTCACTTAGGATAATGGCCTCCAGCTGCATCCATGTTGCTGCAAAGAACATGATTTTATTCTTCTTTATGGCTGCATAGTATTGCATGGTGTGTATGTACCACATTTTCTTTATCTAATCCACCAAGATAAGCACCTGCATTGATTCCATGATTTTATTATTGTGAATAGTGCTACAATGAGCATACAGGTACATCTGTCCTTTGGCAGAATAATTTGTTTTATTTTGGGTATATACCTGATCATGGGATTGCTGGGTCAAATGGTAGTCCAGCTCTTAGTTCTTTCAGAAATCTCCACCGGGCGTGGTGGCTCATGCCTGTAATCCCAGCACTTTGGGAGGCTGAGGCAGGCGGATCACAAGGTCAAGAGTTCGAGACCATCCTGGCTAACACGGTGAAACACCATCTCTACTAAAAATACAAAAAAAATTAGCTGGGCATAGGTGGTGTATGCCTATAGTCCCAGCTACTCTGGAGGCTGAGGCAGGAGAATGGCGTAAAACCTGGGAGGCGGAGGTTGCAGTGAGCCGAGACCGTGCCACTGCACTCCAGCCTGGGAGACAGGGTGAGACTCCGTCTCAAAAAAAAAAAAAAGAAAGAAATCTCTAAACTGCTCTCCACAGTGGCTGGACTAATTCACATTCCCACCCAGAGTATACAAGTGTCCCCTTTTCTCCTCAGCCTCACCATCACCTGTTTGTATGTTTTTATTTTTGATTTTTGACTTTTTAATAATAGCCATTTTGACTGGTGTAAGTTGGTATCTCATTGTGGTTTGATTTGCATTTCTCTGATAATTAAAGATCCTGAGCATTTTTTATATGTTTTTGGGCCATTCATGTATCTTTTTATCAGAAGTGTCCATGTCTTTTGCCCATTTTTAATGAGCTTTTTGCTTATTGATTTCTTTAAGTTCTTTATAAATTCTGGATATTAGACCATTATCAGATGCATAGTTTTTATTTTCTCCCATTTTGTACGTTGTTTATTTACCTTGTAGATAGTTTGGTTTGCTGTGCAGCCCTCAAGTTTAATTAGGTCCCACTTGTTAATTTTTGTTTATGTAGCAATTGTTTTTGAGGACTTAGCCATAAGTTATTTCTCAAAGCTGATATCAAAAAGGGTATTTCCTACACTTTTTTCTATGATTTTTATAGTTTAAGGCCTTACATTCAATTCTTTAATTGATCTTGAGTTTATTTTTGTGTATGATGATAGGTAGGGGTCCAGTTTATTCTTTGTCATATGGCTAGCCAGTTATCCAAGCACTATTTATTGAATAAAGTGTCTTTTCACCATTGTTTGTTTTTACCAACTTTGTTGAAGATCAGATGGTTGTAGGTATGTGGCTTTTTTTTTTCTGAGTTCTCAATTTGGTTCAATTGATTCATGGGCCAGTTTTAGCACCAGTACCACACTGTTTTGGCTGCCATAGCCTTGTAGTATACGTTGAAGTTGGGTAATGTGATGGCTCCAGTTTTTTGGGGGTTTTTGTTTGTTTGCTTTTATTTTTTGTTTGTTTGCTTATTTTGTTTGTTTGCTTATTTCTTTGGCTATTTGGGCTCTGTTTGATTCTATACAAATTTTTAGAATCATTTTTTCTCCTTTTGTAAAAAATGTCATTGGTAGTTTGATAGGAATAGGATTAAATCTCTAGACTGTTTTGGACACAATAGATATTTTAACAATATGAATTTTTCCAATCCTTAAGCATGGAATGTTTTTCCATTTGTTTGTGTGTCTCTGATTTCTTTCATTGGTGTTTTTTAGTTCTCCCTCCTTGGTTACATGTAGACCAAGGTATTTAATTAATCTTTCACCTCCTTGATTAGATGTAGACTTAGGTATTTAATTTTTTGTGACTTTTGTAAATGAGATAGTATTCTTGATTTGGTTCTTGGATAGAATGTTATTGGTGTATAGAAATGCTACTGATTTTTGTGTATTGACTTTGTATTCTGAAACTTTACTGAAGTCATTTATTAGTTCTAGGAGACTTTCAGCAGAATATTTCAGGTTTTCTGGGTATAGAATCACTTTGTCAGCAAAAAGAGGTAGTTTAACAACTTCTTTTCATATTTGAATGACTTTTATTTCTTTCTCTTACCTGATTTTGGTTGCTAGGGCTTCTAGTACTATGTTGAATAAAAGTGGTGAGAGTTGACATCCTTCTCTTGTTCTGGTTCTCAAGGGGAATGGTTCCAGCTTTTGTTTGTTCAAGTATGTGGTTGGCAGGGGTTTTGTCATAGATGGCTCTGGCTCTTATTATTTTGAGGTGTGGTCCTTAAGTGTCTAGTTTGTTGAGGCTTTACCCATTTTTAATTGAATAATTTGCATTTTTGTTGTTGAATTGTGAGGGTAATTCATCTATTCTGGATACAAATTCCTTATCAGATATGTTATTTACAAAGATTTTTTTCCATTATGTGGCTTGTCTTTTCTCCTTGGAAGCAAAAAATTTTAATATCAATGAGGTACAATTTATCTATTTTTTTCCTTTGTTTCTTATGCTTTAGGTGTCATATTTAAGAAACTATTGTTTCTTGGTGACTAATCCAAAGTCACCAAGATGTACTCTTCTATGTTCTAAGAGTTTTATAGCTTTAGCTCTTATACATGTCTATGGTCCATTTTGAGTTAATTTCAAACATGGCATAAGGTAAGTGGTCTAACTTCATTTTTTTGCACGTGAATATCTGGGTGATCCAGTACCATTTGTTGAAGGCTTCCTTAAGTTTTAATAAATGAGAATGGGTAAAAGAATTCAAATGGGACTGCCTAAGCTTCACTCACAAAATTCTCCCTCAGATGTAAACTAGAACTTGCAGAGAATGTGGGAACTTCACTCAAGTTTGTAATTCTGAAACAAGCTGAGCTGGTGCTTATCCATTCCCACCAACATATGGAATCTTGGTGGTATATGGAATCATTTCATAAGTAAACCTCTCACAAAACTAATCAATTTCCCACTGGCCAATATACTTGCTAACATTTTTAGAATTTTAACTCTAGTCAACAGCCACATTTACCTCCTAACATAGAAATATTTAACCATTCAATAACTAGACATATCTTGCAAGCTCAGGTGTCAGGTGAACCTGTAAAAAGCCAGGTGCTGGAGATCCAGCAGTGAGTAAGGCAGAAATGGGCTCTGTCTAGACAGTCTATCCAGCATTTCTCACAAAGCAAAGTGCAGTGTTTTTCTTTCTCTCTAAAATGATTCTTGTTTTATTTCATTTCATACATGTATTTATTTAATCAAACTAAGTACCTACAATGTGTCAGGCACATTCTAGGGAAGGGTAATAAAACAGTTTGTAAAAACAGAGAGTGTCTTGGTCTCATGGGACTTGAAACCTAATGATATGGTTTGGCTATATATCCACCCAAATCTCATCTTGAATTCCCACGTGTTGTGGGAGGGACCCAGTGGGAGGTAATTGAATCATGGGGGTGGGGTCTTTCCCTTGCTGTTCTTGTGATAGTGAATAAGTCTCACACGATCTGATGGTTTTAAAAATGGGAGTTTCCCTGCAGAATCTCTCTCCCCTTGTCTACCACGATGTGAGATGTGCCTTGCACCTTTCGCCATGATTGTGAGGTCTCCCCAACCACGTAGAACTGTAAGTCCATTAAACTTATTTTTCTTCCCAGTCTCGGTTATGTCTTTACCAGCAGCATGAAAATGGACTAATACGCCTAATGATGGAGATCCATATTTATCAAATAAACTGGACAACAAGTACTCAACTACAACTGTGACAGCTGCTGCAAAAATTCCCGATGTTGTCAGAGTCTATAATAAAGGGATGGATTTTACCTGTCAAAATCACGGAAGATATTCCCTAGGAAATGCCACTTGATCTAAGATTTGAATGATTAACAGGTATTAACTAGCAAAAGAAGAATGAGATCAACTTTCCCAGACCAAAAAAAAAAAAACCAAAAAGCTAAGCAGATACAAATTCCTGAATAGGAGGAAGATGGCTACTCTGAGCATATAGGAAAAGATAAGGCCACATTCAGGAATTGTGTTTTTATCCTTAAAAAGGAGAATGATATTCAAGAGATATAACTGTCCCGACGGAAAAGCAATTTTCCAGGCAACAAAGTACTACCCAGAACCTAAGTGTATTTGTCTGTTTCCTCGCTATTAAGTCAGAGTGAGAAGCTTCCACCTGAATTTGGAAAGTGATCCTCAGGTCTTTCGTTATGCTACCTGCTTTGATGTACTTCTGGCTATTTGTTTCACCTGTATGATTTTATGTTTCTACTTTAGCAGTGTGCTATTTGTAGTCAGTTTAGCTACTAGACAGTAGCATGACATCACCAAGGGGGCTTCACAATACAATTCAAGCCACACCCCTGCTCATGATTTTCAAAGCCCTCAGAGATCGGCTCTGTGAAGATAACTGGCGCAGGTCCAGAGATTCTATCTTCTTGTCCCTACTCTGGCACAAAGAAGTTTTAAGTTCTTGCACAAATTTCTTCACCTTACTTGGCCTCAGTTTTCTTATTAGGTAACCTCTAACAACTTTCTGAATTTCTTTTGTATTTGAATATGGCCACTCTTCTTACCATCTCCAGAGATATTTCAAATTAGCCTAACTAAATATTTTAAAAATAAAGTAGCCCACGCAAAGAACATGCTATTCATTCCATGCATTGAAACACTGTGCTATCATTTAGAGCGAGGTTATAAGTCGACCCCCTCCAGAAATTCCTGAAATGCCAAAAACAGTTGGCTACAGAGAGCAGAAAAAGAAATGCTCAAATGACCCATGAGAGTTGACTCTCCTCACTCAGTGTAAATTGTTATTCACTTCCTGTGAGTGGGCAAATTACTGTTTACAAAGCTATTATGGGTCTCATTAGTTGTCATTATTATTTATGGATATCACAGCAATTACCAAAGTGCCTCTGTGCACTTTACCTTGGAGTTCTTTCTTTAATTAGTCATATTGAGTGTTACTAGCTGACCTCCTTGCATAATGGATAAGGCAAAGGAAGTACACAGTAAGGTGATTAAAAACAGGATCTTTGTTGTAAGGAGGGGAAAGGAATGAGTCTGTGAGGATCAATCAGTGACACTTCATCGCCAATTGCCAACTGCAAATTTACCTATATAGAAACCAAGAGAAATTACTCTGTTACACATGTAGAATAATGACATTTTGATGGACTTCCCCTCCTCCAGGGAAAGAGAGGAGTGACTCTGTCTTACAGAGCCTAGAAAGCAGGAATTAAATTGCCAGCAAGACTCCTATTAGCCTATTATTTAAATGTTTAACCCAATGACCCGGTGAAGCATGATTAATAAGAAATCTGTCCATGGTATCAGTTTATGTCGATGGGACTCATTGTCAAGTGGCACAAGCACATTGCAGACTTCTAATTTATTATTTAGGCTGATATGTCCTTGTGATTCACTTGAATACAAAGATTGGTATGTCTATATCTAGCAATTTCAGACTCATAATGTAATAATTTTTGTTTTGTTAATGTAATGCAATTTTTGCATCATCTCTCAAACAAAAAAATTAGGTATAAAATATGTGAAAGAGGGATTTATATTTTCTATATTATATAATACTTGCTACTTATATCAGTCAATCAAAACTACTATTAAGCACCTACCATACTCGCCAAAGTGTGGTAGTTGCTAAAGTGAAAACTGGAATAATAATAATAACAACAAAAGAGTAATTACCTGTTATAGTAAGTATTGCAACAGACTAGCAATAATAGTTTTAAAAAGGAAGAAATGTATTAGAGTAATGCTATAGGAAAATGTCCATGTAGGAAATAAAGGTTGAACTGAACATAACAATATATCTTGGCAGGTGTATATAAAAGAGAATAATAACTCAGACAAAGGGAAAAACCAATAAAAATGAAAGAGTGAGATGACCTTTATTATAAGTTTTGAGTCAGTGAGAAGCTTCTCCTAAAAGGTTCCTTATCAGAAGTAGTGAAGAAATGTTGACTAGGAAACACAGAAAAAACATATAGAGTAAAAGCAAGAAGAGTGTAAACTTAATGTTGTGCTACCAAAAGACAGTATGGTAATAATAATTTATAAATGTGGCTCTTGACATTTCTTTCAAGTATTCCCACATCATTTATTTGCAAAGGGCAGACAAAACATTGTCATCATTCTTGTTTAACAGATGAGGAAATAGCCTCATTACAAGTAAAAGACTAGTAAGTGACATCCACGTCTTGTTGAGGTGGTCTGACTTCTGAGGCAGGGATCTGATAACTTTATGGGCTTCACAGAGCAGTAACAGTGTGAACGTGTCTGTTAAGGACAATGAGTTTTACTGAATAAACAGGATGGATTGGAGAGACACGAATTCGGAGTCAAAGGCAGATAGAACCAGTCATCGGCTTCAGTGTCCTATCTTGTGTAAAGTGGTGAGAACATATATGAAATAGTCTAAGGTGAAGTGTGTGATGAGCAAAGAAGTCTAAAGCATAAGGAGGATAATGATGAAACTAACACATATTAGAATTTTGGTTAGGAAGATAGAATTTTGTGGGGATTGAATTCATATTTAGATTTGGACATTTGAATAAAAGGTGATGGGAAAATGCCCAAATGGAAACAGAAATATATACCACGTGAAAAGATAAGCTTAAGACACAGCATGGAGGTAATTGTTGAAATAATGAAATGAAGGAACTCTGTGGAAGTGGCCTGGAGAACATGATGAGCAAAAGCTAGAAAGCAAAAGACAGAACAAAGCCTTAGAGAGCAGTCACATGGAGGTAACAAAACATTGAAGAGTGTGCAATGTGAGGAGCTTCCAGTCCCACAATGGCAGCATAAAAGCAAGCTGGCTTCACTCCTCCCCACAGAAAACCAAAACCAAATATACAACACTGAGATTATCACCAGCAGTATCCCAGAACTGAAATATGAGGATGAGACAGTTCCTGGAGCCACAGAGAAGTGAAGAAAAACTCCAAGCAGATGGTAAGAGAACTGAACTTCTATGCCAGTGATGCCCGGCCCCACAATCTGCCCTGCACCAAGCACACAGAAAAATTTCCCTCAACTCCCGGTTTCTACAATGGAAAAAGTGAGACCAAGGTGGACAACCAGTTTCCCATACCAGGAGACCTTTCATTGCCTCAACCCATGGGAAACATCACCAGTGCCTGAAGTGAGAAATACTCCAGAAGACAGTCAGAGACAAAAGGTGGTCTATAACTTGGGTAAAGGAAACATCCGATCAGAGTGGCTGTTCAATAGCACCACACTATAGGAGGTGCATTCCAAAGGTCCACTTGGCACAAACTCCTAGAAGCTTTTCCACACTACCAGGATATCCCCTTTGAGAACTCCCTCATTCAGGGCAGGGAGTGCTCTGATTGTGTACTAAATCTGAGGCAAACCTGGGCTTATGCCACCATCTAGTGCCAAATATGAGGTAATGACCTAGCAGGAAAGAAAGAAAGGAAATTCTAAAATTACAAAGAAACTCTAAACAAATATATCCAGGAAAAGTCAAAAATAACACAGAGAAGACAGGAATAGATAGCTAATACTTCAATGCAAAGGCATAGACATATACTTGCAAGAAGCAAAAGCAAACAGAGAATCATGACCTTTCCAAATGGGCAAAGCAAGAAACCAGTGATGGAGATTAATAAGATGGAGATATGTGAGCTCTCTAAGCAAAATGTAAACTTAGCAGTTTTTAGGAAACTCAGTGATCTTCCAGATAACACAGAAAACCAATTCAGAAATTTATCAGAGAAATTTAACAAAGAGACTGAAATAATTGAAAAATAAAATAGAAATCTTGGAACTGATAAATACATTTACTGAACTGAAAAAGAATTATTACAAGCTCTCAACAGCCAAATGGATAAAGGAGAGGAAAGAATTTGTGAGCTCAAAGGCAGCCTATTTAATTGAAAATACACAGAGCAGAAAGAAGAAAAAGAATGAAAAGCAACAAATATCAAATACAAAATATAGAAAAGTATCTCAGAAAACCAAGTCTAGGAATTGTTGGTGTTCAACAGGGAGGTGAGCAAGAAAAAGGCTAAGAGAGCTTATTTAAAGAAAAAATAACAAAAAACTTTCAAAACTGGAGAAAGATATAAATATCCAAGTACAGGAAGATCAGAGAACAACAAATAGATTCTACCTAAGTAAGACTACCCCAAGACATGTAATACTCAAACTCTCAAAGGTCAATGACAAGGAGAGGATTCTAATATTCTAATAGCAGCAAGATAAAAAGAAGCAAATAACATATTTTTTAAAATCCTTCCAGTTGATCTGGCAACAGACATCCCAGATGAAATTATACAGGCCAGGAGAGAGTGAGATGATGTTTTAAAAGTGTGGAAAAAAAAAAAAAGAAAAAGAAAGAAAAAAAAACCTGTCATCCAAGAATGCAAAATCCAGCAAAGCTATCCTTCAAATACAGAGAGATGGTCTTTCCCAGACAAATAAAAACTGAGAGAATGTATCACCACCCTTCTGATCTTATAAGAAATACTGAAGGGAGTTCTTAAATCTGAAAGAAGAAAACACTAATGTGCATGAAAACAAACAAACAAACAACAAAAAAAAAATTGAAGATATAAAACCCACTGGTAAAATTAAGTGCACAGACAACCCCAGAATAGTCTAATTCTGTAATTGTGATAAAAATCTGCTCATAATGAAGCCCAGAATACAAATCTATAAAAAACAATAATATGCACAGTTACTTGTCAAGAGATAGGCAATATAAAAATATCTAAGTTAAGACAACACAAAAGCCAAATGTGAAAGGAATTAAGTTAATTTGCAGAGGATTTTTAAAATTTCATTTGTTTACATTATTCTCTTTGCCATCTAAGATGTTATCATCTCTTTAAAATAACTTCATGTGTCTGTAAGATTTTTTTGTAAGCCTCATGGTAATCATAAAGCAAAAACCTATAATAGATCATACACAATAAAACACAATGAATTGAAACATACTTCCAGAGAAAATCATTTAATCCCAAAGAAGGCAACAAAAAGGAGAAAAGGAAGAGAGGAGTTACAAACCAACCTGTAAAAAAAAAAAATCAACAAAATGCCTATAGTAATTCCTTATTTAATCGGTAATAATGCTGAATGTAAATGGACTAAATTCTCTAATTAAAAGACATAGAGTGGCTGAATGGATAAAGAAACAAGACCCTACTATATGCTGTCTACGAGAAGTGAACGTTACCTATAAAGACACACATAGACTGGAAATGAGAGTATGGAAAAAGTTATTCTATACAAATGGAGACCAAAAAAGGGAAGAAGTAGCTATACTTACATCAGATAAAATAGACTACAAGTCAAAGACTGTAAAACCAGACAAAGAAGATCACTATATACTGATAAAGGTGTCAGTTCAGCTAAAGGATATAACAATTATAAATATCTATGCATTCAACATCAGAGCACTCAAGTATATAAAGTAAACATTAATAAATCTAAAGAGAGAGATAGACTGTAATGCAATAATAGTAGGAGACGTTAACACCCCACTCTCAGTAATGGACAGATCATTCAGACAGAAAATCAAAAAGGAAACATTGGAGTTTCTTTTCATCAGCACATGGAACATTCTCCTGGGTAAGCTACAGTTTAGGCTGCAAAAAATATCTCAACAAATTAAAAAAAAGTAGAAATAATATTAAATATCTTTTGTGACCACAACAAAATAAAACTAGAAATCAATAACAAGAGGGTTTGAGCCTTGGAAACTACACAAAACAAACACATGGAAACTAAATAACATGCCCTTGAGCAAGCAATGGGTCAATGAATAAATTAAGAAGGAAATTTAGGAATATCTTGAAACAAATGACAATGGAAATACAACATATCAAAATCTATGGGATACAGCAAAAGCAGTACTGAGCGAATTTTATAGGAATAACCAAAAGTAGAAAGACTTTAAATAGACAACCTAACAATGCACCTCAAGGAACTATAAAAGTGAGAAAAAATCAAGCCCCCAAAAATAGAAGGAAAGAAATAATAAAGATCAAAGCAGAAATAAATAAAACTAAGACTAAAAAAAATAGAAGATCAAAAAAAAATTTTAAACTGGGTTTTTAAAAATATATTTTCAGCTAAACTAAGAAAAAGAGAGAAAAGCCAAATAAATACAATCAGAAACAAAAAAGAAGACATATCAACTGAGACCACAGAATAAAAAGAATCATTACGGACTAATATGAACCACCAGATGCCAACTAATTAGAAAACCTAGAAAAAATGCATAAATTTCTGGACACATGCAACCTACCAAGATTGAAAGATGAAAAATTAGAAAACCTAAACAAACTGAAAACAAGTAATGAAATAGAAGCCATAATAAAAAGTCTCCCATCAAAGAAAGCCCAGGATCTGAGGAATAAACTGGTAGAGTCTACCAAACACTTAAAGAAGAACTAATGCCAATTCTACTTACATGCTTCCAAAAAAAATAAGAGGATAGAATATTTTCAAACTCCTCAAAGAAGCCAGAATTACTCTGATATCAAAACCAGAAAAGGACACAACAAAAAAAGAAAATTACAGACCAGTATAATTAATGAAAATAAATGCAAAAAGCCTCAACAAAATACTAGCAAACCAAATTCAACACATTAAAAAGATCACTCACCATACTCAAGTGGGATTTATATCAGGGTTGCAAGAATGATTCAACATATGCAAAATATTAAACGTGATATATCACATTAACATAAGCAACAACAAAACCATATGATCATTTCAATAGATGCTGAAAAAAGCATTGAATAAAACATCCCTTTATGATAAAAAAAAAACCATCAACAAACTGGGTACAAAGAGAACATATTTCAAAATAATACAGTCCATATAGCAAAAACTCATAGCCAATATCATACTGAGTGGGGTACATAAAAGCCATTTCTCTAAGATCTGAAACAAGACAAAGATCTTCACTTTTATTATTTTTGTTTGACGTAATACTGGAAGTCCTTGCCAGAGCAATTAGGTAAAAGAAGGAAAGAAGGGAAGGAATTAGGTAAAACAGGGAAGGGGAGGGGAGGGGAGGGGAGGGGAGGGAGAGGAGACATCCGAATTGGAAAGGAAGAAGTTGAATTAGCCTTGTTTGCAGATGACATGGTCTTACATTTAGCAAAGCCTAAGGATTCCACCAAAAAAAAAAAAAGCAGTTAAAACTGATAGTTGAACTCAGCAAAATTACAGGACACAAAATCAACATAGAAAAATCAGTGGAATTCATATATGTCAACAGAGAACAATCTGAAAAAGAAATCAAGAAACCAATCCTATTTACAATAGCTACAAAGAATACTAAATACTTTACCCCAAAAGTAAAGATCTATACAAAGAAAACTATAAAAACACTGATGAAGAAAATTCAAGAGGACACACACAAAGAAAGAAAAGATATTCCATGCTCATGGATTGGAAAAAATTAATATTGTTAATATGACAATACTACCCAAAACAATTTACAGATTCAGTGCAATCCCTATCAAAATACCAATGAAATTCTTTAAAGAAATAAAAAAATCCTAAAATTTATATGGTACCAGGAAAGAACTGAAAATAGCCAAAGCAGTCTTGAACAAAAAGAACAAAGCTGGAGGCATCGCATTACCTGATTTCAAATTATACTGCAAAGCGATGATAACCAAATCAGCATGATACTGGCATACAAACAAACACATAGACCAACAGAAACAAATAGAGAACCCAGATACAAACCTACACATTTACAGCTAACTCATTTTCTACAAAGGTGGCAAGAACATACAATGGGGAAAGGACAGTCTCTTGAATAAATGGTGCTGGGAAAATTGGATAACCATATGCAGAATAATTAAACTAGACTCCTATTTTTAATCATATAAAACTTTAATTCAAAATGGGTTAAAAACTTAAATCTAAGGGACTGAAACTATGAAACTACCAGGAGAAGTTTCCAGTGGGAAACACTTCAAGACATTGGTTTGGGCAGAGTTTTTGGGTAAGACCTCAAAAGCACAAGCGGCAAAAGCAAAAATAGACAAATAGGATAACACCAAGCTAAAAAGCTTCTCCATAGCAAAGGAAACAATCAACAAACAGGCAATACATAAAATGGAAGAAAATATTTGCAAACTATCTGACAAGCGATTAATAGCCAAAATATATAAGGGGCCTAAACAGCTCAGTAGCAAATAAATAAATAATCAAATTTTTAATTGGGCAAAAGATATGAACAGACCTTTCTCTAAAGTAGACAGACAAATGGCAAACGGGTATATAAAAAATATTCAACGTCATTGTATTAGTTTGTTTTGTGCTTCTACAAAGGAATGCCTAAAGGCTGAGAAATTTATCTTTAAAATAGAAGTTTATTGGCTCACAGTTTTGCCGGCTGTACAAGCATAACAGCAGCATCTTCTCAGCTTCTGGTGAGGCCTCAGAAGCTCTTACTCATGGCAAAAGGTGAAGGGGGAGCAGGCTTGTCACATGGTGAGACAGGGAGCAAGAGAGAGAGCAAGAAGTGCCAGGCTCCTTTAAACAACCACCTCTTGCATGAACAAATAGAGTGAGAACTCACTACCACAGAGAGAGCAAGCCATTCATGAGGGATCTGCCCCTATGACACAACACCTCCCATTAGGCCCCACGTCCAGCATTTGGGGTGTCAGATTCCAAGATGAGATTTGGAGGGGATGAAAATCTGAGCTATATAAATCACTAATCATCAGAGAAAAATAAATCAAAACTACAACGAGGTACGTTTTCACCCCACAGATAATAAGTATTTAGTATAAGATATCTATCTATCTATCTATCTATCTATCTATCTATCTATCTATCTATCTATCTATCATCTATCTATCTATCATCTATCTATCTATCATCTATCTATCTATCTATCTATCTATCTATCTATCTATCTATCTATCTATCATCTATCTATCTACCTATCTATCTATCTTATAGTGGCCTTTATCCAAAAGGCAGGCAATAACAAATGCTGGAAAGGACGTGGAGAAAAGGGAACTCACATACAATTTTGGTGGGAATGTAAATTAGTACAGCCACTATGGAGAATGGTATGGAGGTTCCTCAAAAAACTAAAAACTACAACTACTATATGATCCAGGAATGCCACCATTGAGTCTATATTCAAAAGAAAGGAAATAAATATACTGAAGAAATATCTGGACTCCCATGTTTACTGCAGCACTTTTTACAATAGCCAAAATATGGAATCAACCTAAATGCCCATTAACAGATGGGTGGATAAAGAAAGTGTAGTATATATAGACACAATAGAATATTATTCCACCATAAAAAAGAATGAAATCCTGTCATTTGTCATGGATAAAATGAGGGTCATTATGTTAAGTGAAATAAACCAAGCACAAAAAGACAAATATTGCACGGTCTCACTCATATGTGGGGGTTAAAAAAGTGTATCTCATAAAGATAGAGAGTTAATTAGTGGTTTCAAGTGGCCAGGAAGGGTAGGGAGGAGAGCGATAAGAAAAGAGGTTCAATAATGAATACAAAGATACAGTTAGAGAAAAGTAAAAGGACCTTGTGTTCAATAGATCAGCAGGTGACTATAGTTAACATTAATCTATGGTACATTTCAAAATAGCCGGAAAAGAATAATTTGAATGTTCCTAGCATAAACAAAAAACAAATATTTAAGGTGATGGATAATCCAATTATCCTGATTTGACCTTTATACATTATATGAATGTATCAAATTATCATATTTACCCCCAAAATATGTACATCTACTATGTGTCAATTTTTAAAAAATTAAAAGGAGAAAGTACAATGAAAAATTATCCCTTTAAATGAAATGAATGAAAACTATATATAAGTATCCGTGACTTTTCTATACAGGTGAAAATTGTTGTCACAACAACTAATGAATATTCCATACCAAAGGCATGTGTTTCTAAATAAAGGGAAAAAAAAGAGTATCAGTAGAAGAGTGGGCCAAGTAATTGCAACCCAGCTTATAATTTAATGACTTTAGTTTGTTTTCTAAATATATTATGCTTTTGGGGAGAGGTCAGGATTTTTATTCTTCAGCATTTAGAAGTATCCCTATAAGGGGAAGAGATGGGGGTAGTAGGGTAGTTGAGTAATATGGGAGAAATGAAGAGATAGTCTTTAGACTTCTTTACAATGAGAAAAGAAGTTGTCAATCATGCTGTCTTAAATAAAAACAAAAGCAAGGGTAAATGTACAGGAAGACCACAGGGAAGCTCATAAAGTCAATAGGAACATTGGAGAGCTGGTCTATAAAATAGGCAGGAACAAGGGCAGCTCTAGAAGATAAACAAGAAATACAGCAACCAGGCTCTATTAAAAGCATTCTACTAAAGGTACCAGTTTCTCATCCTTTATCTTTGCATCTCAAGTCCCAGACATGAGCTTTCAATCAGTTAGAGTCCGTATGCCCTTTCTACTAGTGACAGAAAAGTAGGATTATTCCCTCATAATGACTTTTCCTGAGGGGGTAAGGCATTGTTTCCTACCAATACTGCATACAGTGAGGAATTTCCCAAAGCAAAAATATGCACTGATGCTGAAAATAGCCACAAAAATAACTCAAAACGGCAAACAAACAAAGTGTCTCTTATACAGTCTACACTTTGGCTGATCAGTATTAAAATATAACCTTCCTTCTATCTTTCACAAAATAGTATATATTTTTAAAATCCTAACAATATAACCATCCTTTTTACAACTTAAGGATATTCATTCACTGCTCAGATATTCAAAGATTAAGTGTTTTCCATAGCTTCAGATCCAGGACTTGGGTATCAAGCAATTCCTCCTTTTGCACCAATCCAACATTTTCCTACATTTGCACAAAATTGGAAAATTGCCCAATGCCAGTGTAGTTTCTCTGAGATGGTTTATTTATATTCTATTAAATGGTCCATGCTATGGGATTCTTTCCTAGTACAATAGGCGTTTATTAGGGGATGGATAGTAAAATATATGTGGAGAATGCAAGTCATCTGAATGACCAAATAATTTTGTCTTCAGAATCTTCTTGGGTCCTGCCCTGTAATTAGTATTTCCATTTAAAATACTCCTAAGCACAGCTGCATTCATGTCTCTGTTGATTAAATCATAAAACCATTCATGTTAGGCACAGAAAGGGTTGATTGTGGTTACAACTCAAGATAATGAAGAATGTGGATTGGCGTTTGAGGAAAAGTGTTTTCTCTTGAAACACCTTTCTTACGCCAGGGAATAGTTGCAGCCCCTTTAAGCAAGGGAGAAGTAGACATATCTCGGGACAAGGGAAGTTGATTAAGATACTATATCCAGGCATATTCCAAGTTCTGATTTACATTTTTAATACAATACATAAAAATGTATATTGTATGAGACAGGAGAATATTCACAAAAATTAAGATCTAATATATGTGGGAAAATATGGTCAGATACTTTTATATGTTTGTTCAGGTTTCACATATAGTCTTTAGATGTTTTCCTTGACCAGTGCAGGAACTCAACACAGTAGTTGTTGGAAGTAGTAGTAATAGTGACAAATTCAAGAAAATAGAAGCAAAGTTCTGTCTATGTTTCACATGTGCTTCATTATGTAATGTATCAATTATGAACCAGGATCTTTTTGGGGACTCAATCACATCCTGAAGGTAACTTGGCTCAAAGAAAGTTTAAAGTCACATTTAAGGTACTGGGCTTATTGGTTCCAGTATATGAAGCTAGAATCCATAGGTGCTGACATAGTTATTTCACAACTGGAGGAGGAGATGTTCTTTTTCCTATCTAAAGCTAAATCCTCCACACTATCTTTGATCTCATTTTTCCTATATTGATCAAATATCCCACCTTGGGTCTTTTCTCATTCTCCTATAATGGCTTTCTTTGTTTAGCATAAATATATACAGTCATGTGCTACATAACAATGTTTGAGTCAACAATTGACTGCATATACAATTGTGGTACCACAACATTATAATAGAGCTAAAAGGTTCCTATTGCCTAGTGATGTTGTAGCCACTGCAGGAGTGTAATGCAACACTTCATTCAGGTGTTTGTGGTGATGCTGGAGTGAACAACTGTGCGCTGATTTTTATCATTATTTTAGAGTATACTTCTACTTATTAAAAGAGTTAACTTTACAACAGCATCAGGCAGGTCCTTAGGAGGTATTATAGAAGAAGGCATTGTTATTATAGGAGGTGACAGCTCTATGCATGTCATTGCCCCAGAAGAACTTCTAGTGGGGCAAGATGTGGAGGTGGACAACTGATACTGGTGATCCTGACCCTGTGTAGGCCTAGGCTAATGTATGTTTGTGTCTTTAAAAAGAAAAAAAGGTTAAAAATTAAAAAGTTTAAAAAAATAGAAAAAAGCTTATAGTATGAAGATATAAGGAAAGAATATATTTTTGTACAGCTGTAAAATAGTATTTGTCTTTTAAGAGTCAGAAAGTTAAAAATATTAAAAATTTTATAAAGTAAAGAAATAAGCTAAGGTCCATTTATTATTGAGGAGAAGAATTTTTAACAAATTTAGTATAGCCTCAGTGTACAGTATTTATAATATCCACAGTAGTGTACAGTAATATCCAAAGCCTTCAGATTCATTCACCACTCACTCACTGACTCAGCCAGAGCAAATTCCAGTTCTGCAAGCTCTATTCATGGTGCACCACTTTTAAAAAACCTTTTATACAATACTTTAGTGTGCATTTTTTATGTTTAGATATGTTAACAAGTACTATTGTGTTACAATTGCCTGCAGTATTCAGTACAGTAACATGATGTACAGGTTTGTAACCCAGGTGTGATAGGCTATGTTATAAACTAGGGGTATAATAGGCTATACTATATAGGTTTGTGTAAGTACACACTATAATGTTCACACAATTATTAAATCACTTAACAACGCATTTCTTAGAAGATATCCCCATTGTTACGCAACACACGACAGTGTATGTAAGCACCATGCATTTGCAACACATGACTGTACCTGTACGCACAATGTTGCTTATTAAAAATCCATGGGATTTTCAAATAAGGCTGTAAGGAAGGAAAGCTATGAAGTATTTTTTTTTTACCTTGACTGAGATCTCTGAAACATTTGACTATTTTTTTTCTCTCAATGCTCCTCTGTTTATTTTTACATCTCTACCTTCTCAATTTTCTTGAAGAGACTCCTCTACTTTCACTCACTCACTGAAATCAGTACAGCCCAGGATTCTATCCTGGTTCCTTGATCTTTTTTTTTTCTTCTAGATACATCATCCACATACCATGGCTTCAACTACCATTTATATTCTAATGGCTAGATTCAGCCATTCTGTCTATCTATCTATCTATCTCTACCTACGTATTCATTGACTACCTTTTATGCACCTGCCATTGTTATATATACCAGGGACATGGTGTAAAAAATGTAAAGTATCAGATCTATGGAAATTACAATCTAGAGGATGGGAAAGCCAATGAACTAATAAGCACAGCATACAGCATTCCAGGGTCATTAGTGTCATAAAGAGAAAAATGTAGGGGAAGGGGATAGTTATGGGTCATGGAAAGCCTTTGTGAGATAGCATTTTAATAGAGAAATAAATAATGCAAGGGATAATTATATTTAAAAATCTGGCATGAAAACATTCTAGGCAGGGTGAACATTAAGTTCAATAGGAATGTTCCTGGCAATTACCACAAACATGAAGAATGCCATTGTGACTGGAGAATGTACATACATGGTGATAAATAATAGGAGTTACATTGGGAGAGTTAGGTAACTAAGAACCAGATTTTGTATAGCCTTATAGCCCTCTCTCTCTCTCTCTCTCTCTCTCTCTCTATATATATATATATATATACACACACACATATATATACACACATATATATACACATATATACACATATATATACATACATACACACATATATATACATATATATACACATACATATTATATATAACTTTCATGGAATTGTGTTAATCTCTACATATATGTATCTGTATTAGGGTTCTCTAGAGGGACAGGACAAATAGTATAGATGTATATATGAAAGGGAGTTTATTATTAAGGATAGATGTATATACGAAAAGGAGTTTATTATTAGGGAGTATTGACTCACATGATCACAAGCTGAAGTCCCACAATAGGCTGGCTGCAAGCTGAGGAGCAAGGAAGCCAGTCTGAGTCCCAAAACCTCAAAAGTAGGGAAGCCGACAGTGCAGCCTTCAGTCTGTGGCCCAAGGCCTGAGCCCCTGGTAAACCATGGGTGTAAGTCTAAGAGTCCAAAAGCTGAAGATCTTGGAATCTGCTGTTCAAGGGCAGAAAGCATCCAGCACGGGAGAAAGATGAAGCCCGGAAGACTCAGCCAGTCTAGTCCTTCCACGTTCCCCTGCCTGCTTTTATCCTAGCCACACTGGCAGCTGATTCAATGATGCCCACCCAGGTTGAGGGTGGGTCTTCCTCTCCCAGTCCACTGGCTCAAATGTTAATCTCTTTTGACAACACCCTCACAGACACACCCAGGAACAATACTTTGCATCCTTCAGTCCAATCAAGTTGACACTCAAGATTACTCATCACAGTATTCAGTATCTATTGGAAATTCTATTTGGATGTCTTACAGACACCTGAAACCCACTCATGTCAGAAATAAAGTCCATTATCTTTCCTCCAGATCTTTTTTTTTTCCTGTTTCTTAGCTTGATGAATAGTACAGTCTAGCTTTCCAAAGAGAAATTTGAAAATAATCTTAGCTGTCTTCATATACCTTATCTCTGACTTTTAATAATCTGCTGTAAGTGTATTCTAAGTTCTTAAAATCTGTTAGCCCCAATTCTCCAATGTCCACTTCTTTCAATCCTACAAAATACCTGTGTTACTCATAGTTTGTTTTCAGTTTTCATACATTCTCCCCGCACCCATTGAATTTATTATTCATATCGATATTAGAATTTACTTTGAAAATATGAGACTTATTATACCTCTGTATTAGTCTGAGGGCTGCCATAACAAAATACCACTTACTGTGTAGCTTAAACAATAACTTATTGCTCACAGTTCTGGAGGCTAGAAATTCAAGGTCAATGTGTCATCAGCTTCAGTTTCTTTTGAGACCTCTGCTCATCTTGCAGATGGCATCTTCTCTCTGTGTCCTCACATGGCGTTTTCTCTGTGCACAGGCATCCCTAGTGTCTTTTCCTCTTTCTATGAGGATGCCCACCATATTGGATTAGGGCCCCTCCCTTATGACCTCATTTAACCTTAATTACCTCTTCAAAAGCCCTATCTCTAAATATAGATACATTGGGGGTTAGGACTTCAACATATGTATTTCGGGGAGACATAATTCAATCCATAACAACTTCTCTTGCTAAAGCCCTCCAGTGCCAATCCCATCCCCTATGAGACATAAGAATAAAGCACGGGCACTTAAGATTCTGTATAATTTGATAGTTCATTTCTAATCATTTTCCTTACATCCCATATATTCCCTTTGCTTCGGTCACACAATAACTAAGAATTTAAATAAATAAATATTTAGGTTCTTCAGGGGCAAAAATAAATAACAGAAAACTTTCCTGCTCCTTTGTACCCATGGCTATACAAATTCCAAGTCATCTGGTTAGAACTTCTCACTCCACTCTCCAGGCTAATCTTTACTCATTCTTCAAGATTTTGCTTATGCATTACAGACAGTAGAAGAATCCTAGCTTACCTATCTGATTAGAGTTCTATTCTGGTGGTATCTTAAACTCAATCACACCTCTATATAGCATTTTTAATATTTTTTAACTTTTGTTTTAAGTTCAGGGGTACACGTGCAGGTTTGTTACATACATAAACTAGTGTCATGGGGGTTTGTTGTACAGATTATTTCATCACCCAGGTATTAAACCTGGTACACATTAGTAATTTTTCCTGATTGTCTCCCTCCTCCCACCCTCTGCCCTGCAATAGGCCCCCAGTGTGTGTTGTCCCCCATATATGCCCATGTGTTCTCATCATTTAGCTCCGACTTATAAGTGAGAACATTATCACGTAATGTGGGACTTACCGGTACACCTGTATTTCTCCCTGACTACTAGACTGTAAACCCAGTAGCAGAATCTAGTAGGTCCTTGGCACATAACAGTGAATTACTAAACATTATTAAAAAAAAAAAAAAAAAAAAGGAAAGTAAGAGTGATTGCAAATACAGGCAGTTTTTTCTTTCTTCCCCAAGTTAGGATTACTCACCTATGAAGTCTTTGATTTTCTGTGATGTGAAGACAGACAAGAGAGAGTTAAAAAACAGTAGAGTGTGTTTGACAAAGTCATCATGGAGAACAGGAAAAGGAAAACATAGCAGTTTTGTCAGGTGGTGTCAAAGACTAATTGTAATTGCAAGTATAAATTTAGGAATGTAAATAAAATTGCTTAAGTTTTATTAAGACTAGTTGGAATGGAGCTAAATACTGGATTAGAGCAATAAATGTTCATTTGATATTTAAAAGGTGTTTTGGATAAGAAAACAGTATCTCAAGAAGATATTTACCTGCATGAAAATTTTTGAATCTTTTGGGCCTATGAATATTGACATGTAAATATATGGCTAAGAATAAATGAAAAGATAAATTAATATAATAATATTATATAAGTATCCTAGACCAACTAATGTACCCTTGGCACAAAAGTCAGAAACCACTGGCAACTTTCAAATATCTGGGAAATCCTTGGAGTTTATTTAACTAATATTATATAGTTCCTAACAAATTCTTGATATGCTCTGCTGAAAAATTCATCTTGGGAAAAAAAAAAAAACACTGCTCCAGGCCAATTCTCCAGGCATAAGAATTAATTTGTGTTGCAGTGAAATTTTCAAGAATAAAGGAGTTTGGAGCCACAGAGAATTTGAAAATAGAAAAATGACATTATTTTGAGAGAGCTAAACTATCAGCACATGAATGCTTAAAGCCAAGATAGGTAAATTTGCCTTAGAGACTGTGGGAAAGCAAGAAAATATTTTCATATTTCTGCCTAGCTAGGGATTTCTAAGTAAATCTTATTGGATCTTGGGACTTGGATAAAAAACTAGTCTTTGCAGGTAATTTATGACTTATTGCCTAGTGAAATAACTCCAAAAAGGTTTTGTTTTTAATAGGGCAATAAATGGCTTAGAGACAGATATGAAACTGTTGCCTTCACATCCTCTCAAAATTGTAGTCTGTTTATATCAATTTAGAACATTGACTTGAGAATTAAAAATTATTTTCAACTATGAATAATTCCTTGAAAATACAATTTAGGTTTTATAACTAATTTTTTATAATTTATAAATTAAAATACATAAGTAAAATACAATTATAGAAATAATATCCCCCAAACATAGCCAAAGACTTTAGGGGATCCTAAATACTAGCCTGAAAAATATCATATATATATATATATATAAACACATATATGAAGTGTGTGTCTATAGATTGTTTATATATAGATATAGGTATTAGAGACAAGGTGTCACTGTGCACCCAGGTTGGAGTAGAGTGGTACAATCATAGCTCAGTGCAGCCTCCAACTCCTGGGCTCAAGAGATCCTCCTCAGCCTCCCGAAGCAAATATATAGATATTTCCTTCTTGGTAAGGTTGACGCATCCAGCTTTTATGGAATGATGATCCTAATAATAAAAATCACCCAACTTATTTCAATTTGCCCAATGTCATTAGATTACAATTTGACATTTTATATATATTTGACTGCAGAGGAAGAATAAGCTCATCATTTAATGAAAGTATCTACATGTCCTCGTTGATAGAGATCTATGAATGTGAATTCAAAAATTGTCATTCTGATTTTTACATTTTATTTTTCTATGCTCTTAACTAGTTTTGCAGCTAGGCTAGTGACTCTGCATATATTAAGAATTATATTTCCAAGACAGAAAATCAAAAAATGATAATTCATTCCTCAGATAGTGCCATTCCTTCTCTTTGTGACAATAAAACAAGGAAAAAGAAACCATGTGATTTAAGAGTTTGTAATAACTGAGACAATGAAGACATGTATCCTTAAAGGCAGAAATTCAAACATTTAGGAAAGAGATAGTAATGATTTTATGATATGAGATTCTGTCATAGATGGTGACTTAGGGATTCTCAGAAGTATAATATTTATTTTTTCAATCATAAATGATCCTATTGAGAAAGAGAGAAGAAAATACCTAAATAAAGCTAGAAAAAGTACATACAGTGTGCTCTGATGAATTCACACTTTAAAATTTATATGTAAAAATGGTGGAGATGGTTCTCTTAAAGATCAGTAGAAAGATTACATAAAGCAATAAGACCAATATTATTGTATCTAAAGCTCCTAATGAGTTTAGGCTTTAAAGAATTGTTCTGAAAAACAATGTCCACTCTTTTGGTTAAATTCAAATCAAGAAAGATGATGAAATACAAAGGCTGGTTTTCAGCAGCCTATGATATACTGTTGATGGACAACATGAGGTACTTTTTCTCTGTCATCTTATTTCTATCTTCCCTGTCAAGGAGAATGAACTTCAGCATGATAAGAAGGAAATAAAACTTAATATGTAAGAAGAGATTGTAAAAGAATACCTGGGCTGTTGTAAATGAATTAAATTCTCATGGTGGGAGGATAATTATATTTCAGGATATATGAAAAACGTGTAAATGAGATCAGTGAACTACTATTAGAAACCTTTGAAGAGGTTGAAGAATATGAATGATGCCAAAGGCCTGTGGAGAAATAAGTGGCACTGCTAACTTAAAAAGAGGAAAAAAATAGAATCCTTGATCTATGTATTATTTATACATTTATTTATTTTTGTTCTAGTAATTTCATACAAGTTTTGAGGGAATTTACACAGAAGCACTATAGAAATAATAAGAGCAGTAATAGAAATACAACAGAAAAAAAGGAGATTCTCTCTGTCTTTCCAAAAGTGTGCTCTCTTCCACCAGCCACAGCTAACTAACTGATCCAGAGTTGGACAGTGGATTAACTATGAATCCTTCAGATTCTTGTTTCCAGAAAAAAGAAGTTGAAGATGAAGTATCATGGGGGCTGGCAGTTGTTGGAGCTCAATTACAGGTAGTGCTCCACATTCAAGATCAGCAAACTGCTGCTACTAGAATTCTCACATCAGTTCTTAATCCTTCTCTTCCTAAGACCTGAGTATTGCATTCATCTTCTGATACTTTCTTCTGTGTATTACTGAAGATAGGCTAAATGTTAAAATAAGAATTCCCAAAATTTCAGTGGCTTACCACAGTAAAAATGTATCTGCTGCTCACACAGTAGCCCATTGTGAGTGTTTTTGGTAAGATGGCTCTCCTGGGAGGTACCTTCCATGCAAAAATTTACAAATTTCTTACATATTCTAACTTTACCTTCCTCTAAGTTTTCAGAGTATGTTCAATGGAGCAAGCAAATAGATAAAGAAAACAGCTTTATGTTCAGACTTGAAAGTATCAGAAGCACTTTTTCATCACCATCCATTGTTGGGAACTCAGTCCTATGGCCATACGTAACTGCATATCATCTAGCTATGTGTCCGAGAGAGACGTAAACATATAGAGCCCATATATATATATATGATTCTGCCTTCAAAAATTGTGATTTAATTTATCTGAATTGGGGCCCTGGCACTGATATTTTTTTAAACACTCCCCAAGTGAATGTAATGTTCCAGCCTGAGAACCAGTTCTCTAAGAGAAAGATGAAAAGATGGCAATTGCCTGTGCAAGTATCTACCCTTTGCAAAATGAACAGAACTAATAGACTAATAAGAATATTGTCCACATATGAACAACCTACTAATTTTCTGAACCTTTTTGATCAACAAATGATTAATGGGCTTTATTTACATCCAACGTATAGGTACTAATACTTTATTGCCAGGGTTACATATCAGAATAAAGATTTCGAAGATACCTGAAAGGACTTGCATTCTTACTTGAATAAAAGACATCACAGAACGTGGAGACTACAGTAGCCTGAGCTAGAAAGAAAAAAATCTGGCTCAAGAATGCTGTTTAGTGTTTGGCCACAGAATTAAGAATGAAACTGGCCTGGCGCGGTGGCTCACGTCTGTAATCCCAGCACTTTGGGAGGCCGAGGCGGGAGGATCACGAGCTCAGGAGATCAAGACCATCCTGGCTAACACGGTGAAATCCTGTCTCTAATAAAAATACAAAAAGTTAGCCAGGTGTAGTGGCGGGTGCCTATAGTCCCAGTTACTGGGGAGGGTGAGGCAGGAGAATGGTGTGAACCCAGGAGGCGAAGCTTGCAGTGAGCCTAGAGGCCCCACTGCACTCCAGCCTGGGCAACAGAGCAAGACTCCGTCAAAAAAAAAAAAAAAAAAGAAGCCTGAAGCCTGTGTCTTTTAGGGTATGTAATACACATTGACACACAGAGGGAACAACACAGGCTGGGGCCTTTCAGAAGGTGGAGTGGGGGAGGAGGGCGAAGATCAGGAAAGATAACTAATGGGTACTAGGCTTAATACCTGGGTGATGAAATAATCTGTGCAACGAACCCCCATGACAAAAGCTTTCCTATGTAACCTGCACTTGTAACCAGGAACTTAAACGTCAAATAAATAAATAAATAAATAATAAAATGACACTGTTGTTCCCCCTTTTAAAAAATTTTTTGACTCTTTTTTATTAACAGTTTCAGATGAAGGGAAAACTTAGATCGAAATTCACAAAACAGGTTATTGGTTATTGATTGATATTTGCTTTCACATCACCTCCCCTCATGTGAGTCCTTTATCTTGCTAGACTTGTTCTCTCCTTTGCCCTCCCCACATCCAGTCCTGTGAAGGTGACACTGAAATCCTACCTGCAGTTAAAGTGGGAGGAACTTTTTGCAGGAAAACCCCACAGGCTTCTTGAGCTGCAGGCTCAACACTAAGTTAGGAAGCTCAGGTTAACAAGCTGTCTACCCCAAAGTTTGTTCTTAATGTTATTATAGGATACAAATAGAATTTATAAGCATAGCTTTTAAATCACCTTAGGATTTAAGCAGACTTTCAGAGATTATTGAATCAAGACTTTCAGAAATGAAAATGATGGAAGCAGATAAGCAGGAAAAATATATTCCTTTAAACAATAACTCTGACTTGGAAGAGTTTGACAAAGGTAAAATTTCACTGACACATCAAACTCAAGAAGGGTAAGTTCTATGAAATATGAATATGATCATTTTATTCAAAACGTACTTACCAATTTATAGCTGTGTGTATATAAGTATACACAGTGTAAGTAAACGCATAGAAATTCTATCTAGAGACATGCAAATGTATTATATTATACTTTTAGGACAGTATTTATTTAATACCAGCTGGTTCTTAGAATTACATATATATATATTTACTTAGAATTACTTAGATGGTCATATACTTAGGTCTTAGAATTACTTAGAGAATCATATACATTGTAATATGAAACAATGGACTAGTTTTATCATATCCAGTGATTTCAGTAATTTTAAAGAAATGATTTAAATGTACAGAAACTTACCAGATTGCTCTCTCTAAACAGAAAGGCATCAGTGTTACAAAGACATGTTTATTATTGACCTATCAACTCAGACTCTATCTATGGCTGTTTTATATTTGTACTTTTAGAGCCAGGTATAACAGAAAACTTAAAAAGCCATGTGGTTGCCCAATATTGATTAGCTGTAAATAAAGTCATTTTGCAATGTTTGTCTCCAGGTGTCTTCCATGTATTTTTCTAAATCACAGGCATATGGATGGATTAAAATTGAACCACTTTTTGATACAAATATAGATTTGACATTTCTAAGAGCATGGGTTTAGAGCTTGTTTCAGACTAATTGGCCAAAGTTGATAAGACAATTTGCAACCTACTTTATGTATTTCCATTTCGTAATTATTTTATTTTTAATTTTCTGTCTGCCATTCTCTTTCAAACATCACATATTCTTTAGAAGCAAACTGATTACAATCCTTTGGGGAAATAGCTCTAAGTAGCAAACAATAACAATAGACAGTTTCAGAGTCTTCAGCTTAATTCCAAAAGGCCAATCCTACATGGGAGAAAGGTATTTAGTTTAAAAAACTGTGGAAAACAATGAAAACAAGACACTGATTAGTAGAATATATAACATTTACCTAAATTATTTGCTTTGCTTTTAGTGGTTTTATGTAATGTGGAGGCTGCCAATGCTTTGTATGTGTATGCTCATGGAAAATAGTGATATGTGCTTTTGGTAAATTGCCTATCTCCACCATATGACGATGCTATTAACTTTCAATGTCTATTTGCATTATCTCCATTATCAAAAGGGATTAGAGATCAGTAAAATCATAATCCTAAGGATTTTTCAAGAAGCGCTTGGATAATCAATTCTACATGAATCTTCTATATCAAACACCATACTTTATTCTGAAATGTTAACATGTTTTATGTACCCTAAGTAAAGAATAGTTTTTAATACAGATTTCAAATGCTTTGTCTTCATGACATGTAAACATTAAAACAAGAATATTAAATGTTAGGACAGCCAGAGATTTATAAAAATGGTAAGTAATCTAGGTGGCAGATTGAAAAAAAATAGTCTGTATGACGTGAAAAGTAAAAACAGGATTTGTTGTTTTTATCCTAGGAGACATATTGAAAGGTTCAAAGAAGTACTTTGATGTTTTGTATCCCAATTGAGGAAGTATTTTTTTCACATGATATAAAGTGACACTTTCTTATAAAACAGATTAAAATTGAGCCCACTAAATTCAATGTCTCTAACTCACACAGAACTCTAACAATTGAAAGTGTCATTTAATAATCCCAGTTCTCCTGGTGACATATCCCAAATCTCTTCTTACTGGGCATAGAGAATTGAGAAAGAATTTACAGGTGAAAGATTTTTTTTAAGCCCATGAAGTTTGACACTATATATTTGTCTTATGATTACATTAAGGAGAAAAAAATGTGAAGAGCAGAGAAAAATTGAAATAATATATTCTATCTCCTAAAAAAAAGTTCTCTTTTAAAAGCTTAAAAATCTTCTGAAAAAAAATATGCTTATAATAGTGGCATTTTAAGCCCTGTGTGCTTATAATTGACATATCTGCTCTTAAACGTGTTCACTGTTCACTGAAAATTGAATCAGGAGAAAAAAATCATTTATGTGAAAATAATATTAAACATAAAGACTTTAGGATAAAGATTTTGCTGCTACCAATTGGCCAGCTTATTCAGTTGTACCTAGTAGCCTGGTATATATTACCAAAATCATAAAGAAAATCTGTACTAGGGCTTCGTCTGGTTTTCTCTAATTTCAGTTTATCTATTTTTTTTTTTGTTTTGTTTTGTTGGATATGGTTTCTGCTCATGCATTCATTTGCTACAAGCATTGTCTACCAGAAAGGTTGTTGGGAACACTCAGAGTTAAATCTTCTCAAATTTCAGAAAAGATGAGCGCAAACTAGGTACCTTTTGAACTTGAAAATCCTCTTTCTTCTCCATGCTTTCTTCCTATTTCCCTTTCCTCAAGAAAGACTGCAGATAATTCCCTCAGCGGTTACAAACAAAAATGTACTACAAGTGCTGAAAGGCGGAGAGGGGGAAGAAGACAGAGGGAGAGAAAGAAAGAGAGAGAGAGAGAGAAGGGGGTTGTGGAATGGGGGAAAGGATGAAGGCTACCATGATCTTTATTCCATGTAGGCTGTTCCCTAGCTTTCTACACATTGGTATCTCAGATTATTTGAAACATAGGCTCTAAATTTAGAAGTTATACTGACCTGAATTCAAGTAGGAAAGAGCTTATTCAAAATCTGTTTCAAAAATTCTACATTTTTTTAACCTTGCATTATTGAAAAGTCCACACACAGTCTTACTAAAATAAATAGCCATCATTTATGGAGTGTGATATAGAAAACACTATTGAATATATGAACATTATACAGTAGATTAATTTACAGATGAGAAAATTGAGGATCAGGAAGTGGTGTTTACTTTGTTTCTAAGTCTTGAAAGTAGGAAATTAATCTTCAGTCTTTCTAACTCTTCACTATATGTAGATATTGGAACCTTTGTGCCTTTTACTGAGTACAGTGGGTAGATTAGGACTTCAAGTGCTTTTACTCATTTTGATAAGGTTTGGGGCAGACATTCAACACCTGACTTGGCCTCCTCCCAGTTGTGACCCTGGGTAGATCACTCTAACTGGCCTTTATTAGCTCTCTAAATGTCTCCCTAATTGTGGTTATGCCCCTTGTGTTAATTTGTCTGATGCCCATGATCCTGTAGATTGCAAGCTGCCCAAATGCTCAGTCAACTGTATTCACTGCTGTAACTTCCACAGATTGCTATAGTGCTGGGAATTTAGATAGGGTTTAGGAAATGCTTGTTGAAATAATTGGTTATAAATTATTGTAACTTACTATAATATTCATGTAGTTGGGCAAAGGACAAAATTATGTGCAGTAGGTAATCCTTTAAGAGAAGCTGCTTTAACTGCAGATATACTGCCACATGGTTGGTTATTTGCCTCTCAGGTTGAAGACACTGAGAGGCAGTGAATTCAATTTAGTGTCAATTTTGTGGCTATCTCATATGCTAAAACTTGACTCAAATTCCACTGCTAAACAAGGCCCTTTCTATCCATAAATAGAAAATACAGAACTGGGTTTCTTCTCTACTTCTAGGTAGAAAAGCATAACTTCACTCAGAAAAACAAATTTTACTAAATTTGCAGGAATAAGACTGAATAAATTACTTAAAATAGGAGGGTGTAGAAATGGCTCCTTTCATCTTTTCTGCCTGGTAGTATATGAAATTTTATTCTCTTTGAGATGCAAAGAAAGACAATCAAATCACTTACGTGTGCCAAATAAATCCTCCATTTGCATCCATTATCCCCCTTGGCTAACTATCTCAGGTCATTTGATTGTTCTGACACAATAACTTGCCATCTGAGAAATATAATTGTTATAGCAGAAAAAACTGTTGAATCTTATAGTGTGCTTGGTCTAAGCGAAACATAGCAAACTTATAATTAAAGTGAATTAAACAATTTTGCTAAAATGAATAAAGGCAATTGACATTCACAGACATATACATTAGACAAACATAAGAAGCAAATTGAGCATGTCATTATTTCAAATTGGAAATTAGAAAAATAATAGATTACTCATAAAGCTATCCAGGAACACAGAAAAATTGGTCATGGTGGAAATTTTAACTGTGAAAAGTGATGCAATTAAATATAATTGGACACTCACTCTGAACAGCAAGATGATACTCAGAGCAATCAAGAACAGATTCAGAATTGAAAAGAAAAAATTGAAGAAAGCACCATCAACAGTCATATTTTTAAAAAACGTAGTCAGGCAGTGCACATTATGACTTTCAAGTGAAATTACTGTAAGAGTTTCATTTGGACCACAAATGAAATCTTTTGTTCCCCAAATCTCTATTGTACCTCAGGAATTCCAAAAGTCATTTGTGCTCTTTAGAACAAAGGGCTATTATACTCAGGCTTGAAATGCTCACAATAGTATTCTGAAATACATCTATTTTTCATTTATTCATCAGCTCAACTATTTCTAATACATTCCTACTGTGCATCAGGTAATAGATAAGATAGAAGCTCTTTGCCCTCAAGATATGATTGCTCAAAGTAACATGTTCTGAGAGGTTTATGGAGAGTGCTAGATAATCCCACAAAGCGAGCCACTAATTCCCTGGAATTATTAGGGAATTCAGTTTGATGTGAATCTTGTCAAACGAATAGAAATTTGCCTGTAGAGAAGGAGTAAAAGGCAATTCATGTCTGAAAAATCAACTTGGGGAGAAAAGTGGGGAAAAAACTTTTACCTCTTCGTGCTAAATTATACAACCAGGAACATTCCACTCAATGAATAAATAATCTCAAGACAAATACTACTCATTTAAATGCATACGTGGAAGCTCTGATGTTTTCAGGTTATGTGCTCTTAGAAAGGAAAGAGGAAATTTTATCACATTTTCCCTCAGAAATCCAGGCTATGTACATATTCTGTCTACATTAATTAAAGTTTTAATACGCTACATAAATCCTTTACTCTCTACATGATATGAAAAAGCTGAAGATGAAAATAAATTTATTTTCTGAAATTTTTACGAGAGGTTATGTACCTTTTTTTCAGAGCAAATATAAAATTTGAGAGTAAAGTACATTTGTTTACAACTAAGACTCTGGAGCCAGACTGCCTAGATTTGAATCTGGGCTCTGCCATTTATTAACTTTGGGAACTTCAGCAAATCTCTTTAATTTTTCCGAGATTCAATGTCCCCATCTATAGAGCTGGAACAATAATGTTACTACATTTAAAGGTTGCTGTGAAGAGTAAATGTGATCAGTGATTTGCACAGTTCCTGGCACTGAGTAGGCATTCAGTGGTTTAGTTATGATTGCAAATTTTGTAATCAAAACCCAAGGCACAGACATGCACACGTGCACACTCAGAGGGATAAGAAAAGAAACTTACTTTATTTTGAAAAGAAGTAACCAGAATTAGCTAAAACACAGCCAGGTCTTATCTTCTTGTACCAACCTTTTACCTTCACCATTATCATTTTTTATCACATCTTATAAATATTGGTTGAAACAAATCAAAATAGCCTAGGACAGAATGTTTCCCCAATCTTGACAGTGCATCATCCCTAGTCATCACCAAGACCTCTTCTTACGTGAAAAGTTAAGCGAAATAATAAGGTGGTCCCCCACGATGCAATTAACTGTCTAGGTGTCATGTCTCTTTTTAAAATGTACTTCCTTCTTTTTATTCTTTCAAATTACATCCAATGCCACTACCTGCTCTTTGTAATATTTTATTTTCTTTCCTTTCTATTGTATACATTCTCATCACTTATTCTTCCTTACTGGGGACACTTGAATCCTTAGCTACAACTGTAGCTGTCACTCCCCCAAAAGCTAATTGGCAAGCTCCTTTGATTCTTCCTTTTCAAAACTCTTTCTTCCTTCCATTTTCACTGCTGTTAACCTAACCAAACCCCAATTTTTCATCTGTTACAATAGGCCTCCTGCCTTCCAGACTGTAATCCCACCAATCCATCCAACAGTTCACGGTCAGAACGTTCCCGTGTTCAATAGTCTCTAATGATATCATTGGCTATAGGATAAAGTTAAAATTGCTTAGTATACTGTTCATAATAGAAAAATCAATTTAAAAAGAATCCACTAAGATTTTTTTCTAAGTAGGCAACAGTTTAAAAATGTATGCAAGAAGGAATGAGGAAAGGGAGGGAGGGAAGATAAAAGGAGCTCTTAGACTTCATAAATCAAGTCCACACTTCCATTTAATGTAATAATGGTCAGATGAGTAGCCCTGCATTTCTCCCTATGTGCAAAAGTAGGAGACCTGTACATCATCATTGACTGTTGACCATTGCAAGATCTAATTTCAGACACATTAAAATACTGGCCTCCTTTAAAAATTATCATTATTCCCCAAATGTATAAAAACAAAATTATTACGCTGTCTCAAGGATATGTTATTTCAAATCATTGCTCTGTTTTAGATAAATCCAATGTATTATAGTGTGCAATTTTTTATGTTACATCTGAAATACTTTTTGTAGTTTTATTGGTTGCTGAAGAAAAATATAGCTCTTCTCTCACTAACTATAAGAACATATTATACCTTAATTAAAACAACTTATTGTTTATATTTTGGCAGGAAAATTCTCTCAAGAAATTCTAAAACTAAGAAGTTTTCATCCTGCGGTCAATTCCAAAGGCTCTGTGATGATTTCTTTGTGCTGTTGATATTAATTTCCCAGAGACTTTCAAGTTTCTTCGTCCTAAAAACTCATCAAGATTTGAGCATGCTTAAACAAAAGGGAGCATCCACACAAATGAAAGGTAAGGGAATGATGAGTTTATTGTCTGTTTGTTTTTTAATTACGATTTCAATCTCAAGTTAAACAAGCCCCAGGTAAAATCTAGGCTCAGGTAATTCAATTGATTCAGTTTTAAATTTTACAGGTTATAAGTTTTTCCAGTTCTCATTTCTTTTCTCCAACAGTGAAACAAAAACACAGTTCTCAACAGTTGCTCAGAAGCCATTGCCATGCTTGCCCCCTCATTCAAATTCTATCTGAATAAATTTATCCTAAATCTGTTGTAATCATACAGCTTTATGCCACACATATGTATATATGCATTCCACAAGTAACATAACTTTTTTCAATGTATTTACGTTCACCCCTAAATATTCTATGAATCATTAAAGCCACCCATTGCCAGAAACCAGGACAAAGTTTATGGATGCCTTTATTTTCTTTAAAGTGGTACACACATGCCAGAAGTGAAATTGAAACTGAAGCTTATCACCTTTATGTGATTATTTTAGCAAAATTCCCTTAATAAGGAAAATTTATTTTTCTTACCTTGTTATAAAACTATCACCGGTCACATGCTTCTGCCACTGGTCATTAGTCCCCCTTGCCTTCAATATGATTAATATATTTTTTCTGAAAAGTTTTTTAATATTTCTTGCAACTGAGTTTGCTCTTTAAAATAAAAAATATTTAATGACAACCTTGAGAGAGTGTTGTGATTGCAAAAATAAAATACTAAATACATGTGATCAATTATGAGATATCTCTGCAATTTCAGTTTTAGATGGTTTGGTGAAAACAATAGCAAATTTGATGTTTGTTAATTGATGTAGTCCAGAAAGAAAGTCACATTTTGTTTGCTTAGATTTCTAATGTCATCCTAAACATTTAAAAAACAAAAAAAACTTCAGAATAGAAAAATTGACTTAAAAATGAATACTTAGATAATAAGCAATCATGATTACAAAGATTTACCTAACCATCAATTTGCAAGTTTTCCTCTTGCACTTAATTTGATTTGCGTGTTAAAGATCCAACCTCTGATAACCTTAGAATCCAAAGAACTCATAGCAGCTGCCTGTTAACCCTTTCTCTATGGTTGTGACTAACTAATTTCCTTGCCACAGCCCTGAAATTCCTCTCTCACAGCCTAATATCTTAAAACTTCCTCGCTCAAAGCTCTTCAATAAACTCCAGTTGCCTTCACAATAAAAGCTAAACATCCTTACAAAACATTCTGTGATGTAGCCCTGTTTACCCAAAGCTGATGTCAATGTTAGCTTTTCATGGTTTTGGATGACGCCCTCACTAAAAAAAAAAAAAAGAAAACCAATTCAAAGGATCTATTTTTTTAAATAACTTTTTTTTTCTTTCTTTCTTTCTTTTTTTTTTTTTTGAGACTGAGTCTTGCTCTGACGCCCAGGCTGGAGTGCAGTAGCGTGATCTGGGCTCACTGCAGGCTCCGCCCCCCGGGGTTCACGCCATTCTCTTGCCTCAGCCTCCCGAGTAGCTGGGACTACAGGCGCCCACCACCTCGCCCAGCTAATTTTTTGTATTTTTAGTAGAGATGGGGTTTCACCGTGTTAGCCAGGATGGTCTCGATCTCCTGACCTCGGGATCCGCCCACCTCGGCCTCCCAAAGTGCTGGGATTACAGGCGTGAGCCACTGTGCCAGGCCTAAATAACATTTTTAAACATTTTTATATCCAAAGAACAATGGAGATAGTGATTAAGCTATCAAAAACAATAGTAGCGATTGTTAAGCACTTACAACTTGAGAGGTATTGTCTAAAATCCTTTACAAGACTTGATCTCCCACAATATCCTGTACCTAATTTTTAAAATACTGCTATTATCATTTTAAAGATAAAGAACCTAAGCCTTGGAGAGGTGAAATGCCTTCCCCAAAGTCAGGTAGCTAGTAAAAATTAAAAAGCTGAGATTTGAATTCAGAGAGTCAGACTCCAGTATCTGTGATTAACCACTCTATTATAGATTACACTGAGTACTATGCTATTCCTACCTGCACTACAAGTACTTATTAATACTTATAAGTTATTATAATTATAAGAAAGCAACTTCTTTCATCTCCTTACATCACATAAGAAATAATACTCAACAATATCATCTTTGGGGCTAGACTTTAACCTGTACTTTTGATCAAGGTAAGTACTTTGGAACTCATGTAAATTTGCAACCAACATTACTAAATTTTGAATTGCTACTAGTTCCAGGAAGAAATGCAGTTTGCAATATTCACTTTCTTCAACTACTTCTGGTTATTCCTCCAGTTATACAGCCTTTTTCTTATAATGCAAGCTGTTATAAAAAAAAATTACATTGTGAAGCCTGAAATACTGGCTGGTTGAAAGGAGAATATCCAGCAGAGCTCTCTTTATATATGTTTGAGAGTTTAATCATGTGCTGCTGGGTAGATGTTTGGCCTGTGAAGGTTACACAGTGGTCTCTTAAAGTATACTATGAAAGTGCTTGTAGAGGGAGAGAGATCTGACAAGCTGATGAAGATTCCAAGCTGGGCAATTATTTCAGTAACTCTCTATACCATGGACTTCTTAAATTACATGACCCTTTTCATATCTCTGTGACTATTAATTGGAAACAAATAATGACACAGGAAAAATAGCTCCTTCAATTTTCTTCCTCCCTTGATATTAGTTGAAGGAAATGCTAAGCTCCTAGCCCTTCAAGGGACCTAAAATTTAAGCAGCTTTCTGGATTTCACACACAAATGCTTGATTATATAATGCTGAGGAGGAACAAAATTGTATTTTTTTATAGCCTTAAGGCCAACTTTCTGTCTCAGATTTTTGGAATTTACCAAATATTCAATATCCAGAAAACTCTTTTGATCTCCTAGCTGCGCATGTGAATCATACACTTCTCTCTTCAAGATGTCCCCCATGGGATACTGGGGAATGTTACATGAACCTGGTGTGCTAGTGAAACACTAGATAATACCCTTAGAAAGCCAATGTGGCCAAGATGGGCAGTCTTGTATTAAAGATCATTCTGAGATTTTAATCATGTTCATTTGTGGTCTGCTTGCGACTAAGCAGAAATTCAAGTTGGCCCCTGAGAAGAAAGTCGGCTTTGTGGCATTTGTCAACACGGCTATATTACTGTTTTGATCCAGATAGCTCTCTAGATGAAACCGAGATGCCTGTAAATCATAGAATGGATGTAATTTAAGACATGGTGAGCAAAAATGGCCCTGAGCAGCAAAGAATACTACGATTCTTTTTTTCCCCAGTTCCCTGGATGATTAGTGTCACATCCTTCACAATTCTTCCCCCTTAATTCCATTAGCTAGAAAAACACGTCTATCACTGTGAAGGGAAAGGAAAATCACGCTTAGTAGCACCAGGGTTCTGCTGAGAAGAAGTGTGGTAATCATTACAACAGTTTCTGTCTGTGATCACTCATAGAACCTTTCAATCCAGTTTATAAGGTAAAATTACCAGACCTTATTTAGTAAGGAAAAAAAGGCATTTGCAATAGGAATTTTCATCTTTAAAATTTCAGGACATTTTAATGAGAAAGCAATAGCTTATATACTAGAGTAGCTCCTGCCGTTCTTATTTTTCCCTCATGTTGTATATTTATGACTTATTTTTTATTAACCTCAGCACTGCCTTGGGAATCTGTTCTATTATTCTGTTCTTCCTGTGATAAAGGGCTTGAGTTGACATAAACAAGGAATATATACCAAAAGGTACTGGCAGATTAGATTCAAACATCAGCCATTGTAAATTTGAGCACATGTTACTGTTAATATGAGAATAAGGAGATGCCTCTGGTTAGACATTGATATCTGATTATTTCTGTCCTCCTTAATTTATTTAGAGATTGTACTTTGGCTTGCAAATATGTTTCTTTTCTACTTTTATGCACACATGTTCTATTTTTCCTAACACAAATAAAATAATTCCAAAGATAAATGAACCTCTTATGAAAACATTTCAAATTTTAAACTTTTTTCAAGTAAAATATTAGTTCACACTGTCTCTTTTGTATATAAGAATAGACAGTGCTGATGAAGAAACTGGCGGATCTTTTTGTTATTCAACCTGTTCCTTGTTGTTATACATTTTACCAACTGTATTAGTCAGGGTGCTGTAGAGGGACAGAACTAATGGAATAGACATATGTATAAAGGAGAGTTATTAAGTATTAACTCACACAATCACAAGTCCCCACAATAGGCCATCTGCAGGCTGAGGAGCAAGGAGAGCCCATGACCCATGTTGTGGTAACATGGGACACAACTATCTTTACAGTTTTCAACCACTTAGGGAGGTCCATCTGCATACCTCTTCCCCAAATTTCTTTGTGACCAATTTTCCAATCATGCTTCTCCCAAGTCCCGGACCATTCAGCCAAACCATTGGCTACAGCCCATGAATCAGTATTCCCCCTTCCATGCAAAGTGCACAACCAGGTCCACTGCTCAAGGTTCTGCCCACTGGGAAGATTTCTCTTCACTGCTGTCCTTCAGGGATGTCCTAGAAAGGGACTGTAGTGCTGCAGCTGTCCACTTTTGGGTGGTGTCTGCATATCGTACAGAACCATCTTTGAAGCAGGCCCTGGTCTTCTCTTCCTCTGTCAATTGATATTACGGAACTCCCCATGAGGCCGTCGGTACAGGCTGGGTGAGAGAAGGCAGTGTTGCAGGAGTGGAGACCGTGGGCATTTGAGCCACTTCCTCATGTAACTTACTTGTGCCTTCAGGACCTACTCGAGCCTGATCACGTATATATCACTTCCATTTGATGATGGATTGCTGCTGTGCATGACCCACTTTATGGCTAGATGGGTCAGAAAGCACCCAGTTCATGATAGGCAGTTCAGGTCTCATGGTGACTTGATGACCCATAGTCAAAAATTCAATTTCCACCAAAGCCCAGTAAAAGCCCAAGAGCTGTCTCAAAAGGAGAACAATTATCTGCAGAAGATGGCAGGGCCTTGCTCCAAAATCCTAGAGGCTTCTGCTCTGGTTCACCTATGGGGTCCTGCCAAAGGCTCCAAACAGCACCCCTATCTGCTACTGACACCTCAAGCACCATTGGATCTGCTGGTTCATATGGCCCAAGTGGCAGGGAAGCTTTCACAGCAGCCTGGACCTGTTGTAGACCCTTCTCCTATTCTGGACCCCATTCAAAAGTGGCAGCCTTCAGGTCACTCGATAAATGGGCTGGAGTAGCATACCCAAATGAGGAATGTGTTGCTTCCAAAATCCAAATAGGCACACTAGGCACTGTGCCTCTTTCTTGGTTGTTGAAGGAGCCAAATGGAGCAACTTATCCTTTGTCTTAGAAGGAATATCTCGACAGGCCCCACACCACTGTACCTGTAGAAATTTTACTGAGATAGAAGTTTCCTGAATTTATTTCCCATCTTTGTGGCACACAAATATCTCACCAATAAGTCCAGTGTGTTTGCTACTTCTTGCTCACTGGATCCAATCACCATAATGTCATTAATGTAATGGAACAGTGTGATATCTTGCAGAAGTGAAAAGTGATCAAGGACTCTCAGAATAAGATTGACAAAAAGCTGGAGAGTTGATATACCCCTGAGGTAGGATAGTGAAAATATACTGCTGGCCTTGCCAGCTGAAGGCAAATTGCTTCTGGTGGGTCTCATGGACAGAAATGGAGAAAAAGGCATTTGCCAAGTCAATGGCTGCATACAAGGTACCAGGAGATGTGTTAATTTGCTCAAGTAATGAAACCACAACTGGTATAGCAGCTGCAATTGGAGTCACCACTTGATTAAGCTTACAATAATCCACTGTCATTCTCCAAGATCCATCTGTCTTCTGCACAGGCCAAATGGGAGAGTTGAATGGTGGGAATCATTCACCCCTGCATCTTTCAAGTCCTTGATGGTGGCACTAATCTCCACAATCCCTCAGGGATGTGATATTCTTTTTGATTTACTATTTTTCTAGGTTGAGGCAGCTCTACCTAAGGCCAAGTTCATTTGGCCTTTCCCACCATAACAGCCCTCACCCCACAGTCAGGGAGCCAATGTGGGGGTTCTGCCAGCTGCTAAGAAAGTCTATGCCAATTAAGCATTCTGTTCTGGCACTGTGGAAATGACCACAGGATGAGTCTGGGGACCTACTGGACCCACTGTAAGTCAGACTTGAGCTAAAACTCCATTAATTACTTGACCTCCATAAGCCCCTACTTTAACTGGAGGACCACAATGACGTTTTGAGTCCCCTGGAATCAATGTCAGCTCAGATCCAGTGTCCAGTAGTCCCCAAAATATCTGATATCTGATCATTTCCCTTTCCCCAGTGTGCAGTTACCCTGGTAAAAGGCCAGAGCTCTTCTTGGGGAAGAATGGGAGAAAGATTCATTGCATAAATTGTCAGTAACGTAGTGGGGTCCTTCCTTAAGGGGACCCAGCCTCCCCTTCATTAAAAGGGTTCTGGGTCTGTAAACTGGATAAAGTCTGGAAATTGATTGAGGGGCCATGATTCTCTGTTTTATAATTCAAATTAGTCCTTTGTCTATTCAACCTAGAAGTTTTCTGCTTGTATACATTAAGTAGGAATGCTGTAGGCTTACTATCAATTTCACTTCTAGGAACACCATTATTAGCCAATGCCAGAGCTCTAGAAAAGTCAAACTATTCTGATTGCTGCTTTGCCTCTGCTATCCATTACGATAACTAAGCCCACCTTGTCTTTGACAGTTGAGTGCTGCCACTTGGCACCTGCCACCTTGGGATCTAATTATTCCCAATTTATTTAAATTTTGTAGTGGAGTGGCTGTGGTTCCCACTGTTAGATCTGACATACAGAGAAGAGCAATTACAGGGCTCTTCAAAGATGCAGGTGCTGCCCTTACAAATCCATTGCACAAGGCACTGGTCAAGGGTATGTCTTCTGGACCCTCCCAGTTGGGATGAGTAGGTTTGAAGTGACAAATCTACTCCACCATCCCAATCTCCCTAAGCCTTTGGATCCCTTCCTCTACATTAAATAAACCAAGGGAGATCAGCCATTTCCAGTTTGCTCACAGTGGGCCATCTTTTAATCCATATTTCAGCTAACCAAGACAATAAACTATTAGAACATTTTATAACTCCCCAAGCTGCAACATTAACTTCAGTGTCCCTACTTAGTGGGCCCAAATCAATAAATTCAGCCTAGTCCAACTCTGTGTTCCTTCCACCATTATCCAATACCCTTAATATCGATTCCCATGCCTGTTCTCCAGATTTCTGTTTATATAAATCAGAAAACTCAAGCAGTTCTTTTCAAGTGTAGTGCACCTCCTCATGGGTCACACTCTGAACTTCCCCTCTAGGGGCCTTCCAGGACTTTAGTCTAGTTATAGGTCTAGAAGCAAACAGGGGTGTTGGGGTGGCTCCTGAAGAGAATCAACATTATCTTGCCTGGTAACTGCCTCAGGGGAGGCCACCGCTGTTGCCTCAGGCAGTGCAGGGTTTATCTCCTCAGACAAAGATGGAAAGGCTGATGGCAGCCTGGGTCAGGAAGGGTATGTTGCCACTACTGGGGATGGGAAAGTTGTCTCTTCTGGCGAAAAAGGTTCATCAGAGTTTACAAACTCAGTGTTCTCAGCTTCATCAGGGTCCTCCCACACATCCCTATTCCAAGTTGCAGGGTCCTGTTCTTTTCCAATCAATGCCCTCACTTTAACAGTAGACACCTAGTGAGGCTGTGCATGCACCTTTTGTTGCAGGTCAGCCACTTGCATGATAAGAGCTTGTGTCTGTTTTTCCACAGTTTTAGCTCTCTCTCTACAGGAGATAAGACTCACTCAGGGCACTCTAAGCAGATTTGAGGTTCAGAGGTTCAGTATCTGCTTCGGAAGCTGGGAGATAGAATCACTGAGTTCATCATTTTCTTTCCTCACTTTGTCCACTGAACTTAGGAGCAACCAACCAGCCTCATTATGTTCCTTGGTTCTCCACATATGGTCAAAGGTATTATGTACAGAGTCACTAAACTCCTTGCCTTTCATGAGCAATGAATCAGGAGTGTCAACTGCATTTATTTTGCATAGCTCTCTAAACAGTTCACTCTCAGGACTATCAGTGTTCTCCATACAATTAGAAGTAGAATCCTTAGCATTTTGGGGTCTAATCATATTAAGCAGCCAACTCCAGAAACCCCCAAACCAATGAAAGAATTCCATCCTTAATATTCTTTTCGTCTAGAACCGCTCCTGGTACCAAAATATGTATTAGCCAGGGTTCTCTAGAGGGACAGATCTAATGGAATATATAGGTATATGTGTATATATACATATATATATATATGGGAGTTTATTAAGTATTAGCTCACATGATCACAAGGTCTCCCAATAGGCTGTCTGCAGGCTGAGGAGTAAGGAGACTCAGATTTCCAAAACTGAGAGGCCGTCAGCAGGCTGAGGAAAAATATTACTTGCCAAGGCTAATGTCCAGAATGATGTTTCTTAGGTTTTCTTCTAGGATTCTTATAATTTGACATCTTACATTTAAATGTTTAATGCATCTTGATTTAATTTTTGTATATGGTGAAAAATAGGAGTCCAGTTTCATTCTTTCCATCTGGCTAGCCAGTTATCCCAGTACCACTTATTGAGTAGGGAATCCTTCCTGCATTGTTTATTTTTGTCAATTTTTTCAAAGATCAAATGTCTGTAGGTGTGTGGCTTTATTTCTTTGTTCGTAATTCTGCTCCATTGATCTATGTGGCTGTTTTTGTACTGGTGTCATGCTGATTTGCTTACCCTAGTCTTACATTGCAGTTTGAAATTGGGTCATGTGATGCTTATGGTTTGTTCTTTTTATTAGGATTACTTTGACTCTTTTGGCTCTTTTTTGTTTCCATATAAATTTTACGATGGTTTTTTTCTAGTCCTGTAAAAAATAGCATTGGAAGTTTGATGGGAATAGCATTAAATCTGTAGATCGCTTTTGACAGTATGGACATTTTAACAGTATTAATTCTTCCAATCCATAAGCATGGAATGTGATATGGTTTGGCTGTGTCCCCACCCAAATCTAATCTTGAATTGTAGCTCCTATAATTCCCATGTGTTATCAGAGGGACCCGGTGGGAGATGATTGAATCATGGGGGTGGGGAAGCCTTTCCCATTCTGTTCTCATGATAATGAATAAGTCTCATGAGATCTGATAGTTTTATAAAGAGGAGTTCCCCTGCACATGTTTTCTTGCCTGCTGTCATGTAAGATGTGACTTTGCTGCTGTGTTGCCTTCCACCATGATTGTGTGGCCTTCCCAGCCATGTGGAACTGTGAGTCTATTAAATCTCTATCCTTTATAAATTATCCAGTCTTCTGTATGTCTTTATTAGCAGCATGAGAACAGACTAATACAGAATGTTTTTCCATTTGTTTGTGTCATCTATAATTTCTTTCAGCAGTGTTTTGTAGTTCTCTTTGTAGAGATATTTCACCTCCTCAGTTAAATGTATTCCTAGGGGGGTGTGTGTGTGTGTCTATTGTAAGTTGGACTGCTTTCTTGATTTGGTCCTTAACTTGAATGTATTGATGTGTAGAAATGCTAATGATTTTTGTACATTGACTTTGTATCCCAAAACTTTACTGAAGTCACTTATCAGTTCCAGGAGTGTTTTGTCAGAGTTTTCAGGGTCTTGTAGGTACAGAATCATATTATCCAAAATGATAGTTTAACTTCTTCCCTATTTGGAGGCCTTTTGTTTCTTTCTCTTTCCTGATTGCTCTAGCTAACACTTTGAGTACTGTGTTCAATAGGAGTGGTGTGAGTGGTATTCTTGTCTTGCCCCAGTTCCCAAGGAAAATCCTTTCAGTTTTTGCCTGCTCAGTATGATATTGGCTCTGGGTTTGTCATAGATGGCTCCTCCCCAGTATCTGGGGTGTCCTTTATGATTCTGGTGGAGCCTGTTTTCCTTCTCTAATTAAAGATCATAGAGTTGATCTTTATGCACTATCTTGCTATTTCTCGGTGGCCGAGGCACATTAAAAGCCTCTACTCTGATATCTTAGGGAAAAAACACATTTTCTTTATTCATTCATCTGTTGATGAGTACTTAGGTTGGTTCTAAAACTTGACTACTGTGAATAGTGCTGTAATAAACATAGGAATGCAGATATCTCTTCAATATACTGATTTCCTTTCTTTTGGGTATATATTTAGCAGTGGGATTGCTGGATCATGTAATAGTTCTATTCTTAGATTTTTTTTTTTTTGAGAAACCTCCATACATTCTCCATAGTAGCTATACTAATTTATATCCCTAACAACAGTATATGAGGGTTCCCCTTTCTTCACATCCTCACCAGCATTTGTTGTTGCCTTTCTTTTGAATAAAAGCCATTCTAACTGGGGTAAGATCATATCTCACTGTAGTTTTGATTTGAATTATCTGATGATTAGTGATATTGATAATTTTTCATATACCTGTTGGCCATTTGTATGTCTTCATTTGACAAATGTCTATTGACATCTTTTGCTCATTTTAAATCAGATTATCAGATTTATTTCCTACCAAGTTGTTTGACCTCCTCATATATTCTAGTTATCAATCCCTTGTGAGATGCATAATTTGCAAACACTTTCTTCAGTTCTGTGAATTGTCTCTTCACTTTTTTGGTTTCCTCCTTTGCTGTGCAGAAGCCATTTATTTATGTATTTATTTATTTATCTATCATTTATTTATTTATCTATCTATCATTTATTTGAGACGGAGGTCTTGCTCCGTCACCCAGGCTGGAGTGCAGTGGTACAATCATAGCTCACTCCTGGTCTGAAGCAGTATTCCTACTTCAGCCTCCCAAGTAGCTGGGACTACAGGCATACAGCACCACATTAGCTTTTTTTATTGTTGTTGTAGAAACAAGATCTCGCTCTGTTGACCAGGCTGGTCTCAGGCTCCTAGCCTTAAGTGATTCTCCTGCCTCAGCCTCCTAAAATGCTGGGATTATAGGCATGAGCTACCACACCCTTGATGTATTTCCATTTGTCCATTATTACTTTGGTTGCCTGTGCTTTTGAAGTATTGCTCAAGAAATCTTTGCCCAGACCTATGTCCTGTAGAGTTTCCCCAATGTTTTCTTTTAGTAGTTTTATAGTTTGAGGTCTTAGATTGAAGTCTTCAATCCATATTTATTTGATTTTTGTATGTGGTGAAAGATAGGGTCCTAATTTCATTATTCTGCACATGGAAATATAGTTTTCCCAGCACCATTTATTGAAGAGACTGTTCCTTCTCCAGTGTATGATCCTGGCACGTTTGTCAAAAATGGGTTCGCTGTGGATATATGGATTTACTTTTGGGTTCTGTGTTCCATTCCATCAGGCTGTGTGTCTTTTTTATGCCAGTACCATGCTGTTTTATGCCAGCACCATGATCTGAAGTAAAATCTGAAGTCAGATAATTTGCCTGGTAACCTCTTATAGTCCAATAGTACTGAATTCCTGGCACTTTGAATTTTCCACACTGTTTCATAATAATTTAACTTTCTTGTGCTTAATGTTATGATAGCCTCTTATCTGAAAGACCTTTCCTAGTCAACTTGGAGGAAACATATTTATCTTTTTAACATAAATTCAATTATCTCCTTTTCTTGAGAATCTTTCCTGATACTCCCTTCTCGTCTGTGCCTATATTGAACACAGCACATGTTTCTTTTATAATAATGCAATTTATTTCTGTATTTTATGTTTTTACTAAACTGCAGGTTATCAGAGGACTCATTTTGTCTTTGTTCCTTTGTATTTTCTAACCCAACTCATAACATAATAATAGAAAGTTAATAAACAACCTGATATGTATTAAGATAATTATTAATTTTCAACCCATACCTGCATAGTGCCACACTGTATATCATGCCACTCTAAAACCCATTGTCATAACTAGCCCCTAATTTTGCATGGAGTTGATTCTACTACATTTCTTTTCCTTTATACATTTATGCAATATTCTAAAATAATCACCTTTCTTAAGCTACAGTGGGAAATCCACTCCTTCTGGCTTTCCCATAACAAAGTTGAATGCTTAGATGTCTGGCTTTGTTCATTCCTCATTTACTATAAACCATGGATTGTCCTTCTCTCCCAGCAGCCACAGCATTGCTCCTTTCCCCCACATTTACTTTATACACAGTAGTTGTATTGTTGAGCCATTTGGGTAGTGTTACTGTCTCTATTCTTAGGGCAAGAATGATACTCATTATCTTGGACAGTTTTTTGGGGTGATATACCCTAGTTTATCAATTTTCATCTTAAACTGACTATAATTTTCCACGTGTGATCTAGGCACCATATTATAAAATAGGACTTCTATTTATAAAAACTATAATTTATGGAGCACTTACAAAGTTCCAGGTACAGTTCAATGTGCTTTGCTTATTAAATAGAGATAGATAAAATGGAACAGTATCAAATCAGGTAAGTTAAAGACAAAGAAAGAGAGGGGTTTCTTTTTTATTTAGCAAAATTAAACTTCCCTATGGGATTTTAATCCTATTGACAGTGACTACTTAATCTTGCCACTTATAGTCATGGCCATTTATGGATCAAAACATACATTGAGCTGATGGTCTAATGCAATTAATGTATTAATATTTCAATCAATGCTTACAACTTCCTTTCAGATCTTATTTCAATTCTCAAAAATCTTTCCCTCTTACTTCATCTGTTCCCATTTTTAAATTTCCCTAGCTCATTTGTGTCAGAAGCTGGGAGCCTCAAGAACAGAATGAAAGTATTGCTCATGGTTGGGTGCACATTCGCATAATTGTGGTAGCGCAGCACTTCTTCGCTTTCATCTGCTCCTCCAGCTGGTGCAGGTACCTTACAGTCTCTCTTGGCATAAATGGCTTCTGAAGTTGGCTTTTATTGTGGGACCATGAGATTGACCTTCATGTGACCAGATGGGCCTTCTTGCAGATTACTGACTTGGTTTCTTCTCCACAGGCATGGCCGAAGCCTCCCTTTTCCATCCCCAATGGGTGACCTACTCCACACCCTCAGTTGGTGTGGTCATGATATATCAGTTATAGTCCCATTCCAGCCTGCTGAGAAGCTTTAAAAGAAGTAAGTTAAAAATAAATTTGTTATTATTCACAGCTTCATGTAAAGTATATGAATTCGATCAGCATGCTTTATTAATTGAAATAGTTATTAATTTAAAATGTTGGGTATTACTATAAAGGGAATAGAGCTCTGGGACTTTACTTGAGATATCTTTCCATGTTACATTATTAAATTTTCAAAGTTTGCATCCAATTAATCAACTACTTACAATTTTACCTAATTATAATGCCATTCATCTTCCATTCTTTTGTCTCATCTACAAGGTTATCAAAAGTTACAGTCAATGTCTTACAAGAAATAATATTCTACATGTTTAGAAAATTTCCTTAAAATCGTAATAAGCTAGAAAAAGAAAAGGAATGGGAAAGGTAAAGAAGAAAGACAAAAGCAAAAGATGGATTAGGAATGGAGGAGGGAAGGTAGAGGAAGAAAAAATGAGAAGGAAAATAAAAAAAGGGAAAGAAAAATTCTCATTATCGATCCTCCTTCAAATCACTATAGGTAGAGGTGCTTACTGAAATCCTCTCCAAGTGTTCACAAAACAAGGGTTTAGTAATCTATTATATGGTGGGTTTTTTCATAATTGAAAAAAATCATAGAACCCTTCTCCTCAGCTAAAGTCTTATCTGAAAAAAGGAAAATGTTGATGTTTTGATTGGGATCTTAGTGCAGGTACTCTGCCTCTCCTGATAGTCCTTCCTCACCCTCACCCCAGTCCCTTATGATTTCTCTAAGAACCCCAGAGCATGGAAAACCATAAGACATGGGACAACCAAAGTTTGTCAAATTCCTGTCATATAGATCTTGCTATGGAATTAATTCAAACTCACTAATCTGCAATACAGATAGTCCACTCTTTGTCCTCTATTTGTTAGAAACCAGGATGTTATTTTCTGCCCCCAATTTTTTTTATCATTTCTTTCATTTCCTACAAGTCTTGAAAACGTATTAGAAGCAGACATGTAGACATCTCTTCCCCAGTTTCCCTTGAAACCTATAATACAGTGTGTCTGGATCCTGAGGAACACCACGTCTACTCTATCAATTGTATCACTTCACTTGACGTTCAATTCCCACTTGTCAATATGTGTTCTACCCTCTGTAGCTGAAGGGTTGTTTTCTATAACAAAATAGCTAAAAATCCCACATGAGTGAAGGTCTTCTGTTTTCCCCTGTTTTCTGTTAACATTATACCATCTGTCCCAAGTGGTAGAATTATTCATACTTTTGTCTTCCTTGCTCTTCACATGCCTTAAAAAAGCCTTTGGGTACCTTTGACATTTTTTGTTGAAGCCACATTTTATTCAGTTATAGATTTCTTCACATAATTTATACAAGTTTATAGAACTGTTAATACTACTTCTTGGTCATATCATCCAATTTCCATGTTTTGTACATGACAAATTTTACTTTAAATCAACAGAATCTAAATGTTAGTTGGTGCTGTATGCTGTAAACTTGAGTTCTTCAGAAAGCTCTTTCTAGAAAGAGCAATGCCAGTATATTTCTCTCTTCCTCAATGCCAGCTTTTAACCCTCAATGTAGGGATCCATTATAATTTTTTAATTTTTTTTTGCGTTATCAATCGTTGCTAAGCCACTTTTCCTTTTAAAGTCCCAGGACAGAAGATTCCATAAATATCTTTAATATTACCTATTAAAATCTGCCTTCTTGAATATTCAACTACACATGTGATGTGTTGTTCCCTTCTTTAGTTGCAACCATTTGCTTCCAATATCTACACATATGCAAACACCGTTAGTTGATGGTCTCAATCAAGTTCAGAGTAGTATTTCCAATTATAACTTATTCTGCATTCTGAGAAATAAAAATTTTATTCAAGTCCATTTTTATTGGTTGAATTGTGTCCCAGCAGAAATGTATATATTGAAGTCTTAACATCCAGTACCTCAAAATGTGACCTTACTGGGAAATAGTGTCATTGTAGATGTAATTAGTTAAGATGTCATTATACAGAAGTAGAGTAGGCCCCTTACACATTATAACTAGTGTTCTTATAAAAAAGGGAAATTTGGACACAGACACAAGCACAGAGAGACCATCATGTAAAGATGAAGGAGAAATTTGCATCTGCAAGCAGGGAACAGCAAAGTTTGCCAGCAAACAACCAGAAATTAGGAGAAAATAATGCAATAGATTGTCTCCAATAGTGCTCAGAAGAAACCAACCCTGCTAATTCCTTGATCTTGGAATTCTAGCCTCCAGAACTATGAGACAATAAATTTTGGTTGTTTACACCAATCTATGTGGCCATGTTATGCTGGTCATAGCAGACAAATACAATCAGTCATAAAGGGATCAACTACTATCCTTCTATAATTTGTCTTCTAAATGGATCCACATAACTGGAAAATCCCATAACTGTAGAAACTTGTGTATTTTTGGTCACTTTCATTTTCATTTTTTTCCTTAAAGTGTATATTCATTTTCTCCATCTGGCTGGAAATTATTAACTCTAAGTAAATTTTACCTTTATTTTATTATATGATCACCTTATTTGGATGTCTGTTAATATTTTCAACATTTTTTACCTGAATTGCTTGATACTTTATTATTGCTCCTCTTATTGTGACATATCTATATCAGAAAGAGAGAATAGTATTTAGGTACTATCCATGTATTTAGGTACATGGGCTCGGGAGTTAGACTGCTGACTTTAAGATTTTACTAACAGTATGATCTTGATCATGTTTCTTAATTTCTTCAGACCCCACTTTCTTCCTGTATATGTGAATATTTTTAAAAAGAAAAAATAAAAGAGGAAAAAACCTATCCAATAAGTAAGTAGAGATGATTAAACAATCTAATACATAAAAAAAACATATAATACTTAACAGTGTTGCAGTCTATAAAAAGTACTCTACAAAATTTAGTTCTCATAATTTACATATTCTGGCCTTTTTTTTTCCATTGAATTAAAGGGTTTCTCTTTCTCTCTCTCCTCTCTCCACTTTTAGGTTAAAATCCTACTATCAGATTGTCAGGTGTCTGGGTCACTTTTTCTATCCTTTCCAAGTAATTCAATCCAAATCAAGGGACACATTATTAATGCTTAAATCATGTAAAAGAAAAATGCCCTGTCCTTCTACTCAGCAGCCATTTGTTTACTCCCAATTTTCTTTCTTTTGAAACATGATTATCTTCCATTTTATAAAAAAGATAAAATCAGCTGTATCTTCGAGCCCTTTTCAGTTTTCTACTTGGAAGTTCATAGTTTCTCAGAGATTGTACTCTGGCAGTGGCATTTGTCCCAATATACATCAACAGGAAGATGATAATTTCAAAAATGCCATCAGATACTCTGCCACAATAACAATATTGAATATGGGAAGACTATACCCCACCCTTTTCACAATAGCCCGTCCACAAAAGACTTGAGTCCCGAGACATCAATTGCCTCAGCTTTTCTTGGGGCCAGGGACAGATTTCCTCAAATCTGCTAATGACTGAAAATTCTCTGTACAGTTCAGAGAAACAAAGACTGCATTTCCTATTAAATATCTTAGTTGTGCTGAGGTGGAAAGAAACTTACTTGCCTTTATAGCACTATTGGTTCAAACTTCTCTCCTTTATCTTCTCCATCAGTTTTTCTGGTCACCAGCATAGTTTCACTGATTTTGATAGTCTTTATCTTCCTCATAATCTTGTTTTCCCTCTTGCCTTTTATTCAGGTTACTTCCTATGTGCTATCTAGGAATATGTCAACCCCAATAAAGAAGTCTTCCTCAAACACTCACACTTCTTTCAATTTCTTTTGCCTTTTTTGTTTGTTTCAAATTTGAAATTTCACAATAACCTGACAAGTGATTACCACTATTCCCTTAACTATTTTTCAATCACAAAGTGCAAACACAGATGCAATCAAACATATTACAGAGAGCTCTGATAAATGTTTTTGAATATATTTTTGTGTTCCCAATCTTCTTCTTTGTACCTGTTTCACTCCTTTCTTTGGCAGGCCTTTAACTATTTCTAGAATTTTTTGAATGAGTCAGGTACAGATAGCAATGAATTAAATCAAGAAAATGCTTCACTAAATTTGTCGTGCAGCATCGTCAATTGAAGACAGTCATGACCTAAAACCCCCATTTGGCACTTTTCTTTTGGCAAAGACTGCCAAATGGCTGATGATTTAATAATCCTGCTTTTGGCTTGGGGAGCTGTATAAATGGACATTTGGATGAGACTAGCTAACTCATTATTCACGTTGACCTAAAAAGTGATCCCTTAAATTCTAGCAGGAAAAGGTTAATGATATAATTCCCTAGACTCCTTTGAATTTTAATTAAAATTATTTTTAAAAGAGTTTGAATTTCAATATGAACTGGAGCTTTCTAAACTATCAGGTATGTCATCAAAGCTAAATCTCTTCTATGCAGTAAATGAGAAACTGACAATACTCCTCATTTTTATTTATGCATTTCATTCTATGAACACTTCCGTCAATGCATTTCAAATAATCTTTGTACTTCTTTAACCAAGCAATGCTATCCACTATTTGTCAATGAACTATAATGAATCACATTCCAAGAGCCAAATTCTCTGAATGATTTTGATAGGTATTTTCCAGATATGCAGTTTGGAGCAAGCTTGTATTTTAAACCCATGGAACATTCTGTATATATGTTTATTAATTTAATGTTCCTTTCTTACTGTGGTATCTTAATTTCTTTAGATCTTAAGCAAGGGGTGGGAGAAGTAATGCAATATTATCTACAAGCAAAGCTTTTAAATAATTAAATTAACTCTTTTCCCTTTTGTTATGAAATGTCAAAACTGGTCTTTTGGGGAATCATGTTACATAATACCAAACTAATAATTTTGATAATAGCAAATACATTGTAATAGCCTATAGCTATAAGGCACTTACTCTATGCCAGACATTATTCTAAGTATTCTACATATATTAAATCAATTATTCCTCCCACCAATCTTCTAAATAAGTACTACTATTATCCCAATCTAACAAGTAGTAAAACTGAGGCACAGGGAGGTTAAGTGGCCAAAGTAGGATTCAAAGCTGGCTGAAACCACAAGTGCACAATTTGTTTTAAGTTAAATGAATTATTGCCTCCAGATCTATATGTATAATGAAGCCTAATACCTCAAATATGATGAGCTTTCCACTTACGGATAATTTTATGCTAAATATAGTATTATATGGAGTATTATTAGATAACATAGCCTGATGTTATATGTTGCAATTTTATTCACTTTCTATAATATATAAATAAGGAAGAAAAAGTAAAGAAGATTTTTTACTTTTACTTATTAATGTTTTTGAGATCAGGTCTCACTCTGTCATTCAGGCTGGAGTGCAGTGGTGCAATTGCAGCTCACTGCAGCCTCCACTTCTTGGGCTCCAGTGATCCACCCACCTCAGCCTCCTGAGTAGCTGGGACCCCAGGTGCACACCGCCATGCCCGGCTAATTTTTGTATTTTTGGAAGAGATAAGGTTTCATCATATTGCCTAGCCTGGTCATGAACTCCTGAGATCAGGCAATCCACCCACCTCGGTCTCCCAAAGTGCTGGGATTACAAGCATGAGCCACCACACCGGTCTAAGGGAAGCAGAAAAGTGATTTATTGGGTGCTCAGGAATACAGTGAAAGGAGTGTTCTAGAATACCTGGGAAATCTCAGTTGCTGAGAGGGTTATATTGTTCAGCACATGTGTTATTGGTTGTATTCTCCAATATCCCGTATGTATCAGAGTCAAATGCCATATGATATTCTCCTATGATTAAAGTTTTCAGCTAAGTCAATGTGTATATATCACATTGTATATGTATATTGTATATGTCATTGTATTATATATTTATGTTATGGATATGTATAAGTTTATCCTGATTTTTTTCCCTCAAGGATAGTAATACATTGTGGTTCTTTGTACAACAGTTCTCATATAACCCACTTTGCTAGCAAACATTTATTTCATATGATTAGATTTCCTTGTCTTCGTTATTATGAAGTTATACTTCTCAGTGTAAATTTGGATTGTCAAGCCTTAATAAGACTGTTCATACTAAAGATTTAACTTGTTTATATAATAGGTGTGGTTTCAAAGACTGTATCGTATATAATTTAGTAAGGAAAATGCATTCTGCTCCAAAAAATATTTCAAAAATGATCTTATTGTCTGTATTTTTCCTTTAACAGCATCTTTTAACATTGCCAGTGAGCAGACGGATGTAGAAAGAATAACAGCAGAAGGACTCTCAATTCAAAGACTTAAACCAGCAGGTAAGGACAGATTCATGGTTTACCAAGCCTAGACCAGTATTTTGGAACAGCAGGTAGAGAGACGACATGATTTGGAAGAAGCTTGAAGCAAAAGAAGACATTTTTATTTTAAAGAAATGGTAATTTTAAAAGGGTAATATCCTTGAATTAATGATGGACATGTACCAAATTAACTTCTTTAGGAGAATTAACTTGCATTTTTTTAGTCTCTATTTTGCTTATATTTTCCTCCTTCTTAGAAGCATGAAAATCCAGTTCTTTTTTACCCTGCTGATTTTTTGACATTTTCCATTTGGCAAAAAGGAATTTCTCTCCCTCTCTGGTGTTTCTAATGGAGCTGAAACCCATGTGATTAACATGGCTTCCTTCCTCACGCTAGGCTTGGCATCAATATCACTTTCAGAATTAATATGTATATCTCCTGAGAGCAAGCACTAATTTCTAGGAGTTCTAGCTAAAAAGCTATTATAAATGGCTACCCTTACTGGGCATGAGAGCTAAGTGGAAAAGAAAATATTTTGGGTGCTTGAATCTTTGCCTTTAAATTATTCAGAAAAAATTAAACTTATGTTATTGGAATACCAAGATCAAGTTACAGACTTCTTCCCCTTCAGGGGGCAATTCTTCTCCTGACTTAGTACAAATGAGCAATATTTCAAGCTTTCTAATCTGCTACATATTAGAATCACCAGGGGAACTTTTCAACTAAAACATATTAGCATCCAGGCACCACCTTCAGAGAGTCTCAGCCAATTGTTCTGGATGAATATCTGACATCTAATGCTTTTTAAAACGTATTCCAAAGTTGATACAAATCTACCTCCAGGATTTAAATCCTAGGCATACTCTATTTATCCTTATACAATTAAAATGTTTTTAAAAAAATCACTGGTGAAATCAATGATCCAAGATAATTAAACTATTTAAAATATTTCCATTAAAATTAAAATTCCTCAATAAAGTGAGGTGGTTGTCCTAATCCATTTTGTTCTGCTATAACAGAATACCTGAGACTGGGTAATTTATAATGAACATAAATTTATTGGCTTATGGATCTGGAGGTTGGGAAGTCAAATCTCCAGATTGAAGGGCCAGCATTTGACAAAGGCCATGGCAGAAGAGCAAAAACAGGGTAAGAGAGACAAAGAGCTTAAACTCCCAGACTTGAGCCTTTTTCGAATCAGCATTAATCTGTTCATGAGAGTGGACCCCTCCTGACCTAAACACCTCCCAACGGGCCCCACCTCTCAACACTGCTGCATTGCAGATTAAGTTTCCAATACATGCTTTTGGGGGGGACACATTAAAACCACAGCAGAGTTCATGCTGGTTTTACATTTCATGCTCACCAAAATTTAATTTAATGTCAGAAGCTTAAAATCAGTTCTTTGAAAGTAATTTCTCTTTCTGTTAATTCTCACAACCAATTTATCAGTAAATTAAAATATGCCCATATCCTGATCATTTCTCACCATGTCTACCACAACCACCCTTGTCCACCATCCCCTCTTGCCTTAAAAGCTCCAAGTCTCCTCACTAGTTCTCTCTTTTTCACTACTGAACCCCTACAAAGTAATCCTTTAAAAATATAGGTCAGCTCATGCCATCACTCTGTACAAGACTTTCAAATGTCTCCCTAGGTTGCACCCAATAAATGCCTGAGGCCTTACAATGCCACAGTCATGACCTGGCTGTCCTTCCTCTCAAACCTCACCTCCCCCTGTTCTCTCTCTTGCTCTTGCAGCCTCTTGCTCTTTCTCAAACATTTCAGGCATGCTCCTGCGTTAAGAACCTCCCACCATCTGTTCCCACTGCTTGGAATGCTCTTCCCAGATATTTGCATGTCTAACTTCCTCACTGTGTTTGTTTTTCTTCTTCTTCCTCTTCTTAAATATCATCTTCTCATTAAGGTCTACCCTGACCAATTTACTTAAATTGTAACTGCCTGCCCACCACCTCTCCCAGTACGCCTTATCCCACCCTCCTTTTTCTTTTTTCTACAACACATATTTTAAATTCTATATAGTTTTCTTATTTTTTAATTGTATATTGTTTCCCTCTTTAAGAATATGAGTTCCATAAGATCAGGAACCTTTGTCCATTATGTTCAGTGATCTATTTCAAGGGACTGAATCAGTGTTTGGCACATGTTAGGTGTCACAAATAATAATTTATTGAATGAATCGTGATGAAATAAATATAGGTGCAATATCTGGGACCATGCTTTCTAATGGCAATTAATAATTTCCTTTAAAATATGATAATATTCCTAGCACTTTGAGAGGTCGAGGTGTGTGAATCACTTGAGGCTAGGAGTTGGAGACCAGCCTGGCCAACATGACAAAATCCCATCTCTACTAAAAATACAAAAATTAGCTGGGCAAGGTGGCACATGCGTGTAATCCCAGCTACTCAGGAGTCTGAGGTCTGAGAATCGCTTGAGCCTAAGAGGTGGAAGTTGCTGTGAGTCGAGGCCATGCCACTGCACTGCACTCCAGCCTGAGTGACGGAGTGACACTCTGTCTTAAAATATATAGTACATGTAAAATAAATATATATACTAATACCACCACTTTCTACCTGTGTGACATGGTAATATTTTATATATATATATATATATATATATGTGTGTGTGTATATATATGTATATATAAAATATATGGTATATATTATATATATGGTAATGTTTCACTTTAGCAGGACTATTTGTATGTTTCTAATTAGTTTTCCATGATAAGTATATTGTTCTGATTGCTTCATTGCTCCTGCAACTTCCCCAGGTCCTCACATTTTTCGTGCAGGAAAGAGATATTAATATATATATATATATATATACATGTGTGTGTGTGTGTGTGTGTGTATATATATATGTGTGTGTGTGTGTGAAGAGGCATTCCTATAAAACTGTGTCTTGATCCCTAAAATTATTGTCATTTCTTCCACTCGTAGACACAACTTTCTACTCCATCTTCATATTTTCCCTTAAAAAGTAAACCTATCCCATTACATATCAAGCAATTTCTTTTCTTCCCATTTTCTTTAGCAGGAGAGTGATAAATCAAAATCCTTTATCAAGGCTTTATATAATTTCTAAATCTGTAATTTTACCAATTAAATTGGTCTGATACTATGTCTCACATGATTCAAAAAATTTTGAGAGAAGTTAACAAAACTTCAAATACAAAAAAGTGCTGCATCTTTTCTCCTCACAATGATAAATGATTCTTTCATTTTGGGTTAATTTTTATCATTTGTCATTTTGTTAATTCAACAAATAATTTTCAGCAGAAGGCAGTGTTCTAAGCACTTAGGTTCACCAGTGAATAAATCAAGCAAAGGTCCTTGCCCTTGTGGAGTCCACATTCTCATCTTCTCATTCAGTAACCAGCTCAAGCATTGTTTTCATCTGAAAGCCTAAAATTTTTTATTCCATTTAATCTTTATTATATTCATCATGAAGATTTATTTTAAAGAATAGAACAATGGAAATGATAGCCTCCTGCTAATAAATTCCCTTGCTCTGACTGGGTGCTATCGTTCTGAGATTACAGACTTCTCATTGTTGGGAGTACCAGACCTGGAACACATCTCCACCACTTTCTACCTGTGTGACATTAGAAACGTTCTTTAATTCTATGTCTACCATGTTTCCACTATCTACAAAATGAAAATAATACTTCACAAATTTGTGTTAAAATCCTGTAAAGCACCTACCACATTATTAGCCAATAACAATTGGTTATCAAACCAGTTATTATTCAATTCTGCATAGCAAAGAAAAAAAATCCAATATTATCTGTCAATAACAGCAGTGAATTTTTTAAAAGTAATTCTTTATGATAAAGGCTCAATAAAATTATTTTACTAGTGAAGAAAGCTACCTGTCTCTGAGGCAGTTTGTCTCTTTATTAGGGTTGAAATCATATATTACCTACTCCAGAGAGAATATATGACCAAGCTAAGTTAGAGTAAATTCCCTTGCTACATCCCCAAATCATCTAGTCTTTCCCCTTCCCCATACTTTTCAGACTCATGATTACACAATTCATCTCTGACTCCACCACTTCACTGCAAGCTGCAGGACAGCAGAGAAGTCCCGTCCTGCTGACCACTTAATCCCCAGCACACAATATCAGAGCCAGGGTGTGGCAGGAACTCAATAGATTTCTTCTTAATCACAATGCAAGAAACCAGTAAGAATTTGTAATTTGACTCAGGAAAGTCTATTTACATTTTATAGTATAGCCTAAGTCATCTTTAGTCCTCCATAGGAATTATAAAAGAAGCTGAAAAGTACATTTAAGAAAAATTATGGCTAAGTGCGGTGGCTCACACCTGTAATCCCAGCACTTTGGAAGGCCGAGGTGGGCAGATCACCTGAGGTCAGGAGTTCGAGACTAGCCTGGCCAACATGGTGAAACCCCGTCTCTACTAAATACAAAAAAATTAGCCAGGTGTGGTGGTACATGCCTGTAATCCCAGCTACTCGGGAGGCTGAGGCAGGAGAATCGCTTGAACCCAAGGCGGAGGTTGCAGTGAGCCAAGATCATATCACTGCGCTCCAGCCTGGGCAACAGGGAAAAAAAATCATTTTGGTGCAAATTTCCTGAAAAACAAAGCAGACTATTTGTTACAGCTTTATTTTTTTCCATAGATTTGTTATATATATTGCGATTGTTGATTTGTTTGCTTTCTTTCATTTTGTTTCTCAGGGAATTGCCTCCATTGAAACTATTATTTCCAGAAATACTAATGAGCAGCCTACATCAGCTGAGAAAAGTGAAACTGGAATTCCTAAAGATAAAAGCCAGGTACTGTAATGTGGGAACGAGCCATAGGCTTAGAAGAAAAGGATGTGGTTCCTAGCACTGCTGCCCAGTTCTTTTCTTGTGTCACTGTTTGTGAGCTTTTAGGCTAAGTCCTTCCATTAATTACATCATTGAACTGTCACAATATCCCTGTAATGAGGCTTCTATTATCCGCTCCATTTTGTCAGTGATAATTGTGTAGGTGAGGTTAAGAATTCTCAGAGGTGCACAGAGAGTAAGAAGAGTTGGGTTTCCAGTTCAGGATTCCCTGACTCCAAGTCATCAACTTTAATGCTATTTACTCTTTTGAAGGCCCTTTGTCATCCTGATCCTGAGTTCTCACAGGAACAGTTTTGCATATCTTGTACACAAAAAGAGACCCATGAAATAATCAAAATCCAGTTCATTTAATTTTTCAAAGCTATTTCTCTGAAAAGATTTTATAAAGAACCATTTTATAAATACAACATAGTTTTAAGAGGCATTTTTTTTTCTCCAAAGTAGTAATGTTAGAAAGCTGCTATTCTTACAGTTAGAAGGGGTGGCGCGTGGGGGGGAACTTGTAGATATTGCAACGCATCATTCAGCGGTGAGCATTGCTTAGGACTTCCTAAGACATTAAATAAAATAACATTGCTTTAACAAAAATTGCAATTAGCAGTAAACATCTGGCAATTGTCTCCACATTTTTTCAATATTCTTCTAGCATGAATGCAACCAAATAATTGTTATTTTAAACTAAAATAAGCATATTTATATATTCAGGTCTATAACTGACACAGTAATAAAAATGGTAGATTAAGTTTAAAGCAGGAAAATCTTATAGCTATATATTATTTACTGAGTGGTATAAAAAGTATTAGAAAAATGGGCTATTTAATTTTATAAACCTAGTTTAAAGGAGCCCATGATAATTTGAAAGTTCTAGTTTTACATATTATCAGTCCTAAGAATATAGTAGAGGAATATTATGTTAGAATATCCTTCATTCTCTTGGGGAATAAATTAAAACACAAAGCAGGTAAAGTGACTTCAATTGCCAGCAGAGCCAGAAATGAGAAAGATGCCCTCTTTTGCAAAATGTACCCAAATCCCTGCTCATCATATTCACACACCCAAAACTTTGCTTCTCACAAAAAAACTATATTAGGAGTTACTTGCTGTTTGAAATGGGGCTGAGTGTTATTATCATGAAGAGCTCGCTTAAAATTTTAGTGATAGTGTTAAGGTGACATCAAATACATTAAAAAAAAAAACTAGAGAAAATGGTGAAAAATGAAGACATAAAGAGAAAAATAATTCTTTTAAAAATAGTGCTGCTGTTATTCTTCAGAGTAATAGTTTCATGTTCTTAAACTCTGGATTGTGCTATGGTTCCCTTCACCACCAACACGAGGGTTCCTAATCCACACCCTATTGCTAAAAATGAATGTTTTAAAAGGAAATTTTTGTGGATGGTATCAAGCACAATAAAGGCAAAGCATTCTCTAACTGTGCTTTTTGCTCAGCTCTTTGTTCGGCTATTAGATTGTACTGTTCTTCACATAACATTTTGCAAATCACTGGGTACATTCAGAAGGGATGTGTGTGTGTGTTTGTGTGTACCAGAGCAGCCCAATGCTAACCTTGGCTGCCCTAATGTTCTTTCATTTGGATATACTTTGGATTAAAACAATTGCAAAGCACAAATGTGAATTTCCAGCAAAGGTGACCTTTCTTTATTATTAGATTACAACCTTGTTTCTATAAAAATGAAAGTTACCTTTGAGCATTGCCATCCTAAACCTTTGTTAAAAGAGCCAGATGCTTCCCTGGCTTATTACTGGTTGATACGTAACATTTAATTAGGCATTTACAGGGATAGATTCAAGGGTCTCTATCGGTGAAAATTGTCCTTAGGCTGCTAATGGTTGTAGTTTCCTGGTATTTTTTTTCAAAGGAAAAAATCAAGATGCCATGAAAATAACCAGTAATAGGTACTCATGGCAAAGAAGGTCATTCAACACATACATGAAATATTCTGTTTTGCCAATTCATGTGGCCTTGCTGACTATTTTTAGAATCAGGTGATATCAACCCTTGTTTCTCACAGAGCTCTAAGCAGGGTCGGTACCTGGTTGGGATTGCTGACAGCAGCCCCAGCCAGGTTACTGCTTCACAGTTTCCCCTGCCAGCTGTATGGCCATCTTCCTGCCAGCCATACGCTCACCATGGCCACCTGCTGTTGCTCCCAGCTGCTGCAAGACAGCCCCTGCCAGTCACACCCTGGGGCCTCTGCCAGCTCTGCAGCAGTCCCTACCTACCACATGGCAGCCCCTGTACCCTGTGCATCCGTCCCACTGTCACACACAGAAAAGTTATTCAGTGGGTTGCCTAAAATTACCTTTCCCCCACAGAGCCTCTTTTCCTTGAGCTCAGTGTTTGTATGAGGTGTGGTTTAATTTTCTTCTTTTAGACAGTTTGCATAATTTATGTGAAAGGATTCTTTCCATGGTAGGCTGAGATGCTCTCACAAGTACAAATGCACTTCTCACACTTGACCACAATTCCCTTGAACTTAAGATCATTGAACAAAAACAACTAAATTTGAAGTTTGGAATCTGGATTCTAACAAAGTATAGGGACTTTAAATAATCTTTTCTTAAAGTATATAAAAAAGGCATAAATTAGCAAAAGAAGCTGCCCACATAATAGCTTTATATTTTTCAAATTCCCCAGAATATATCAATTTGGGCAGGGTTCTCTAAATCTTGATTAATCAACTGCAACAAAAATAAATTGACAAAAAAGCCAAAAATAATTAAATTCCAATTGTGCTGTAAGATATTAGAATAGATGGAGAGAGATTTTTTTTAAATGCTTATAGATATGGCTCTGTCCATAAGCAGTTTGTATTTTAATTTGTGATTAAAGTAGAAGCATTTGAGATAGCATGTTCCAGAGTACTGCAAGACCAAAAGATAAGCACATGATTAATTGTGCATTGTATACTACAGCATACGTGTATACACAATGCTAGGAGCGTGGGGAAGGAAAGAATCAGTTACTGCATTAAGCTGTGAAGCCTTCTAAAGGAAGTGGATTTCAAGTGGGGCCAACTTAACTGGATTAGAGAATTGTGGTAGAAAAGTACTGTGCCCTGTTGATGAGTCCTCTTGAACAGCTAGGCTAAGGAGTCTGGATTTTAATTGGTAGCCACAGGAAGTAACTGAAATTGTCTTGGGAAGAGGAATGACATGGTGCATTTTTGAGTAGGTTGAACCAAATGAATTTGTTTTTTTTAATAGGTCAAAACCATTAAAGCATCAGTAGTTTCATAAAGTTCAACTTAATATAAAAGATAAAGTGAAGAGGAAATAACCAGACTAGGTTTGGTTTGGTTTTTCCACGCACCTCCTGCTCTGTCAACTAATTTGCCAAATTATTCCATATCCTGTCTACTTTCTTACACTAAGAGGTGAAAAAATACAAAAAAGTAAAAGATGAGAAGACGAAATAAAAGGATAAGGAAACAAGGCACAAAATCAGCAAGAATCATGGAACATCTTAATACTTCTTAATAAAGTAAAAGTAACTAAATCTTGGAAATCTCTCACGTGAATCTGCATTAACACTCTTATCTCGACATAGGGAATAAAGCAGTTCTAAAAAAATTACACATTAGCCTATTCACAGATTTAAAAATATGACTTGACTCTTACAATTCCTTTCTTTATCTCCCCAATTAGCTGTTATTTACATTTTCCAAAAGAACATTATCTTAGGTTTCTAGGCTCAAGTGAACTCTGGATACTTGTGTCTTAGCGCATTACTTTAAGTTACAATTTTAGGGATATCCATTTACTTGTATTTGATTTGATAAAGGAATCATATCTTCTGCAACACCTCAGATGATACAATTTAAATGCCAAACATTCGGCTTATCAAAGAAATGCACAATGTCCTATGCTTTTGTAATTTTCTTTGCATCTGGGATCAGTTAATCTCCAGCCCACACTCTGGGGCCTCTCTTTCTCCACAGAGACTTTAAGGAGCTTACCTCAAGCTCAGAGTCAGCAAAATTTACTCTTGTTGTTGTTCATGCACAATGCAATGTAGAGCCTCCTGTAGTGATCCAAACCCCAGATGGTTTTGTTATCCCATGTTGACTTCTAACACCCCACTTACTCTCTCAGCTCATCTTTCTGCTTCCTTCTCTGCAGCCATTCTTCTCCCAGCTGGACACTTTTCCTCTAGTCCACTACAGAATGGAATGTGATTTTTTTTGTCCCTTCCTTAACTCTTTATTCTCTGAAACAGCTAGAAGGAAACATAGAGGAGACAATGTAACAGACAATGGTAAAATTACAAAGACAGTATTGGTCATGGGAACTATCATCTTTATTAGAGTGGAACTTAATTTAGATGTGTTCTCGCTAACTTCCTACATTGTTCTTTCATGGAGGCAATATTTTTCTGCCTCTGTGGAAGTTCGAGAACAAATAAAATATCTATCTCTTTATCTTTCCTGGGAAACTTTTGAGTTTCCTTTGTTCTTAGATAAAAGCCTCCCATTTCAGTCCCTATAATTCTCTGAAACAGATAATAAAAATGATAATATTTTAAAATTTTTAAATTTTTAAAAGTTTTTGTTAGAATATACAAAAAGAATAATTTGCATATACCAGATCCTCTGACAACAGCCTGTATTTTCATCTTTGAACTTCCATTGATTATCTTTCCTGGCATTTGCTTAGAAAGACAGACTTCATCTTGGATTCACTTTCATTGGGTCAAAACTCAAATCCTAGAGGGTCCAGAAAAATAATATAAATGAGTGACAGAGTCACATATAGGAAAAACAAGGACTGGCGGGGCAGTGATGACCTGGAAAGCTCATCCCATCTTAAGGGGGCCACAGCTAATAAGCACTAGTTGATAATTGCCTTATAAAAAGCTCACTCAGTGTTTCCATGTTTTTTAAATTAAAAAAAAATTCATTTGATAAACTAATTTAAAAATACTTTAAATATAATAATTTAATGACAAATATTTACAAATATTCCTTGAAAACATTAATTATAATAATTTATACATGCAACAAGTAAATTATTTATATCAAGAGTTGGCAATTTTTTTCTATAAAGGGCCAGATAACAAATATTTTCTGTTTTGTATGTCATATAGACACTAAGCTCAGCCACTGTGTTGACAAAGTAGTAATATGTAATTTCATGACCAAAGCTGTATTCAGTAAAACTTTGTTTACAAAAAACTGGAAGACCAGATTTGGCCCATGGGTTTGCTCACCCTAATCTATACATGTATCTATCTAAAGGCTAACCATTGAGAGTTTTACAGAGTATATATCTAACAGTCCATATGTTCCGCTTATCTCAAATTACACAATGCTTGCTGAGGGAAATCTTCCCAGGTCTGGATCAGATTAGGCCTTCAGTTTGGTGTTCCCATTGTACCTGCACCTGCACTAACGTAATATTCAACAAAATGTCACACTGTGTTATAATATTTTAATTTTTTCTGCTTTCACTAGATTATAAGCTTTAAGGGAATGATGACTTTGTCCTGGTACTTGGTATCCATGATGCCTGGGACATAGTGATGGCAGTGGTACCAGCTGCAGCAGGGAGGTGTGCTGGGGCTGCACACTCCATGGAGCTGGTGGGAGCCCTGTCCCTTCTGAGTTGGGGCAGGAGCTCCCTGGATGCCGCTGCTGCCACCCAAGCTGTGGCTGCAGACCCAGGGCTCCTGCTCTATGGAACAGGCAGGAACCCCACCCAAACTGCAGCTGTGGGTCTGAGCCTCCGTCTGCTCTTGGAGGGGGCCAGGAGCAGGCAGGATCTGCCCTCCTGGGTGCAGCTGAAGCCACCCTCCCAGGCGCAAGACCCTGGCATCTCTGCAGCCTGAACCCTTAGGGGACCCAAGAAGGACACCCCTAATCCTCCGAGCAGGCTTCGTGGGTGTCTGCTTCCGCTGCCTGGCCTCTCTCCACTCCTGGAGTGTGCTCCAATCTCAGAGCAGGGGTTGGGGCCAATCCCTAGGGGCCATGAATGGCAGCGGGAGGCAGACTGATTCTTGGATGGAAAAGGGGACTGATTCCTGGGTGGAAAAGGGTGGGTCCCCAGTAAGGCCTCACCTTCAGGCCAGAGAGGGCCTGAAGGGTGGGGGCAGGCTGCCAGTCCCATGGACTGGAGTGGGGGCTCGTGGTGCCTCTTCCCGCCAGCCTGTGGCTGCGCATGGATGATTCCACAGGCACTTCCTCCCCTCTGAGATCCATAAAAGTTCTGGACTCAGCCAGAGCACAGGAGAGGATGGCCAGAGAAGAAAAGGGCAGAGAGAGGATGGAACAACCAGTTGCAGAGAGGAGCTACCCTCTCTGCTGAGAGCTGCAGAGATGACCTGCAGGCAGAGAGGAGCCACCCTCTCCAGGGCCTCACCCTCTTCCGGGCCTCCTCTCTGCTGAGAGCTGCAGACATCGATTGGGATGACCAGTGAGCAGAGAGAAGCCACTCTCTCCAGGGCCTTCTCTTTGCTGAGAACCGAACACCGGGTGAATGACCTGCCTACAGAAGGGAGCCACCCACTGCCACTGCGCGTCTCCTCTTAGCTGTACAAACACTCAATAAAGCTCATCTTCCTCTTGTTCATTCTTCACTTGTCTTTGTACCTCATTCTTCCTGGATGCAGGCCAAGGTGCCACAGCCACAGAGGCTTCTGGCCAGAAAATCCACACCCCAAAGAGATCCTGTAACAGTAGTAATCATAAATATTTTCAGTGCATTTTTTATTTCCTTCCATAATTAATCTAAACTGGAAATTTTTTTTAGTGTTTTGTTTTTAGTAGAAGAAAGCCATAAGATTATTAAATGTTTGTATCTTTATCTAAACTTCATCATTCATGTCTATATTATTTTACCATTTTCTGTTATATTACTTCCTGCCTTAGTTTGTGCCACTATAAGAAAATACCTGTAACTGGTAATATATTCTCACAGTTCTGGGAGGCTGAAAAGTCGAAGATCGAGGTGCTGGAATTTGGTGTCCCATGAGAGCTGCTCTCTGCTCCCATGATGGTGTCTTGTTGCTGTGTCCTCCACAGTGGATAACACTGTGTTCTCACATGGCAGAAGGGAGGAGGGCAAAAGGGCCAAATGTTGTGTGAAGCGTCTTTTATGAGGGTCTTAATTCCATTCATGACAGTGGAATGTAGATAACCTAATCACTTCCTAAAAGCCCACCTCTTAATACTATCACATTGAGAACACCTGAATTTTGGAGGAGACACATTCAAACCATAGCATCCCACTTTCCCTGTTTCCTTCCACCAGAAAAAGAAAGGTGAAGATAAGTGTCAACTGCAAGAAAAATGGTTGCAGAAAATTTTGATGGAAGTATCATCATCGATGTTATCCCTATGAAAAGGAACATTTCATTTTTGTAGTCTTAGTATCAGGAAGTTATGGAACTAATTGTAGAGAGTCTTCTGCTATAACATAGGGATTAAGAGCCAGATTCCTAAAGTTAGACTCCTTGGGTTAAAAATCCCTGCTCCGGCCAGGCGTGGTGGCTCACGCCTGTAATACCAGCACTTTGGGAGGCCAAGGCAGGTGGATCACCTGAGGCCAGGAATTTGAGACCAGCCTCACCAACAAGGTGAAACCCCATCTCTACTAAAAATAAAAATACAAAAATTAGCCGGGTGTGGTGGCAGGCGCCTGTAGTCTCAGCTACTTGGGAGGCTGAGACAGGAAAATTGCTTGAACCCGGGAGGCGAAGGTTGCAGTGAGCCAAGATCACACCACTGCACTCCAGCCTGGACAATAGAGGGAGACTCCGAAAAAAAAAAAAAATCCCTGCTCCATCACATCACTTACTATATGTTATCATACAAGTAATATAGGCTTTCTGTTAACTCAGTTTCCTTGTCTACAAATTGTAGCTAATACACATAACTTCCTCATATAAAGTAAATTCATATAAAGTCCTTCGAGAGATGCTTAGATATCCTAAGCACTCAATAAGTAATAGCCAATCTTTTCAGTTTACATGTTTGAAATCATTCCTTCATCTTCTCCATGACCTTACTCAGTCCACTCAAGTAAGCCTTTGGCCAGGTCTCCCACTGGAATAGCCCTTGCCACTCTCGCCAGTGAACTCCTTGTTGCCACAGCCAATGATCTAATGATAATTACTTTTCTTTATTTATCTTACTTTTTTTTTTTTGAGACAGGGTCACACTCTGTTACCCAGTCTGGAGTGCAGTGACATGATCTTGGCTCACTGCAATCTCTGACTCCAGGGCTAAAGTGATCCTTCCACCTCAGCCTCCCAAGTAACTGGGACCACAGGCACTCATTACCATGCCAGGCTAATTTTTGTGGGGTTTTTGGTAGAGATGGGGTTTTGCCACATTGCCCAGGTTGGTCTCAAATTCCTGGGCTCAAGGGATCCTCCCACTTCAGCCTCTCAAAGTGCTGGGATTACAGGCATGAGCCACCGTGCCCAGCTGATATTTTCTTAGCATACATCTTACTAGATCTCTAAGCAGATAAACCATGTGACATGGTTAGTACTTTCTTTTCTATCTTACGTCTACTTCATTAGCCCTTTCTTCACAGTCTCTTTCTTGCTGCATCCCACCCTCTCAACCTCTAGATCTCAGAATGCTCCCATGCTCAGGCCTTGAACTTCTCCCCCTTTACTCACTACAAAGTGACCTCATCCACATCCAGGGCTTTAAATACCATCTAGATGCTGAGGATTCCCAAATTTACACTCTAGCACTAAACTCATGTGAACTCCAAACAAATGTGTCCAGCTCCTACTCACCTCTTGACTTGACTGTCTAATTGCAACTCTAAACATATTATATCTAAAACTGAACTTGATATTTTATACAGGTGCACACACACACCTCACTCACACAAACATATGCTTTTTCCTCTTAATAAATAAATGACAACCTTATATTACCAGTTACTTAGAATCAAACTGAACCCCTCAATCTTATTGCCAACAGATCATTTATCTACAAATCCTACCGCCTCTACGTTTAAGAGATACTCAGAATTTCAATACTTCTCACCATGTTTATCATTCCTACCCAATCCAAATCCTATCATCTCTCATATGACGTATTCAGATAGTTTCAGGACTAGTGTCTTGGTTGTCAATTTTGTCGTTTCTATGGCATATCCTCCACACACAGCCAGAGTAATCCTTGAAGAAGGAAATCAGGCCATATCCCCTTTCTGCTGTAAATGCATAATGGTTTTGTATTTCAGACAATAAAGACCACAATTCCTAATATGGCCTGCAGACTGGGGACAGTCTGCCTTTGCCAACCTCTAACCTTATTTCTTCATATTTTCCATAATGTTTGTTGGACTCTAACTGCTCTTATTATTCTTTGAAAACAGCAACTGCTGGGCACAGTGGCTCATGCCTGTAATCCCAGTACTTTGGGAGGCTGAGGCGGGTGGATCACAAGGTCAGGAGTTCGAGACCATCCTGGCTAACAGGATGAAACCCCGTCTCTACTAAAAATACAAAAATTAGCCGGGCGTGGTGGCGGGCACCTGTAGTCCCAGCTACTCAAGAGGCTGAGGCAGGAGAATCGCTTGAACCTGGGAGGCGGAGGTGAGCCTCCCAGTGAACCGAGATGGCGCCACTGCACTCCAGCCTGGGCAACAGAGCAAGACTCTGTCAAAAAAAAAAAAAAGAAAGAAAGAAAGAAAGAAGGAAAGAAAGAGAAAAGAAAGAAAGAAAGAAAGAAAGAAAAAAGAAAGAAAGAAAAAAAGAAAAGAAAAAAGGAAAAGAGAAAAAGAAAGAAAACAGTAACTGCACCTCTGCACTGGGGCCTTTGCAGTGGTGTTTTCTTTACCTGGAATGTTCTTCCCCAACCTATCCCTCAGGCCCCTCATTTTCTTCATGTCTCTGCACAAACCACACCTTATCTGAGTGGCATTTGTGCCTCCCTGCAAGACATAGTACCTCCAATCATGCCCATAATACCCCAGCCTCATTGTTCTGCTTTATTTTTCTACAGAACACACCACTATTTGATAAGTGTATTATATATATCCAGTGCATTGTCTGTATTTCAACATATACTAAAATGCAAGCAGCTTGTGAGAAGAAACTTCATTTCTCATTTGATTGCTCTATTCCCAACATGTTCAATGATGTTGGGCACATTGTAGGTGGTCAATAAATATTTTTGGATGAATTTGTAATATTTCCAGGTGGCTGAGGCACATTAAGAGCCTCTAATCCACTATCTTTGTCCTTTCCCAGTTTCTAATCTTGTAGTTTATTTTTGTGAAATTCTATGTCTCTGTGATGTAGCATTTCTAGAAATGTCAGTTCCCCTCTCCAGGTGAATTATCAGTGAAATCCAGAGGGAATATGGGATGGTCTTCAAACAGTATTGAGTTTTTATGTCAACTGCAGCATAAAGTCAGAATCTAGTTTAAAATGTCAGGACAAAGTAACATAAATCGAAGGTACAGGATTGTGGTCTAGACATAGGATCTAGGGATGACAACATGAAAATGCAGAAAAAATTATAAGAAAAATAATCCATGTACAAACACTGGAAGAGTCTATTAACTCAGGCAAAACAGACTGAGTTTTTCTTTCATGAAGCTGTTCTCTATGGCTGGGTAAGCATAGTCACATTTCATAACATCTAAAGTTACTGCCCAATATCTTCTGTGAAAAAGCTCTGCAAACTTTTGAAATCTAGTGCTTAGTGGAGTATTCTACACATAGTGCACACCTAATGAGTATGCAATAAAGCTGGTGATAAAAACATAGGAGATTTACTACCCCCACCTTATTAAAATGCATGTGAGATTTTTAGCAGGTGAATACTATCAGGAATGTGTTTCTTTAGCAGATAAACGACTTTCCTCGCATTTTTTCTTTCCTGTTGATGTGCAGACTACTGAATGCCAGCTAAGCAAACAGAGAAAAAAAAATTTATGTCATCTTTCTTGTAAAAAGTTGTAAAATACATACGAAACTAGATGTCAAAGAGAAAAGAGGATTCTGTTTTAAATTCTCCCCAATAGTGACGACAACCTTTTAACACTATGCCTATTTAGTTTTTTTAATACTCATCATCTCATTTCCTCCAAAGAACACTCAGTAACTCCTTTAACTTGACGTGTGTCTTCTTATCTTCACACAAATATTAAAGGTAACCCTGAAATTTCTTTATTGTCTCAAAAGCCCAAAGGACTTTTGGGCAGCTGGGTGTGTTATAACTTGCCTATGACCAGCTTTGTCGTGACCACACTTTAAAAATATCCAAACTACTCCTCTACCTCATTAAAATTAAATTATCTATGAATAAATAATTGATAATTATGGTTTTAATATTCTGGTTACATTTGTCACATATATCATAATATCTAGCAAAGGTAAGTTTAGCTTTATCTACAGGACAGCGACTGACTTCAGTGTTTATTTTAATGTTAGACCTCTCTACATTCAACGTTTTGCAACCCAACTTTTTCAATCTCACTCAAGATAAAAATAAATTGAACTAACTTGGGGGGGAGAGGGAGCTTTTCCAGCAACTACTCTCATTTATTCTTATTGTCTCTGCATAGTAATTATTAATTCCTCTTTCATTCCAAAAAGTGTTTGGATAATTAATATTCATCCTAACCATACAACTACATCAAAATGTTGATGTTTCTCTAAATACTTTTAAAATGATCTGTTGAAGTTGTTTTCAAAGTTAATCATCCAACCTGGCTTATCAGGATATTTTTTCATAATTAAATCTCATTTTAGATCAAAATAATATTATAAAATTTTATCACCCATTTAAAAATAAAGTAGCCTAAATCACTTTCAGTTGTTTCTAATAACCAAGTACACTTTCAGAAAAACAAATATTTGTTGCTGAGAATTTCAAAACATGTAGCAACTAAACACAAAAGGAACTACAGCAGTAGTAGAAATAGTAATAGTAGTAATAACAGTCATAGTTAAATAAGTACCATATATTATTTAGTATTTTCCAGTTATTGTGTGAATATCATATTTATATATAGATAATCTCATAGATAGATAGATAGATAGATAGATAGATAGATAGATAGATAATCTTCATATCAATCCTGAAAAGAGTGATATAATCTTCATTTTATAGATGAGAAACTGGAACTTGGATCTTGATTATTTTAGGTAACTTGACCAGGTCTCAATACTAGTAAATTGCAAAGCAGAGACTCAAGGCCTCCATTTGAATTCATTCCAAAACTTGTGGTCCTCAACACTGAGCTATACTTCCTCTTTAGTCTCTTATTCCAAGAAGATTATCAAATGTATGGATAAACTTGGTAATTTCTGGGAATACTGGTGATCCAGTATGGCTGGATTATAAGATAATGAAAGGGTGCATGCTATAGAAAAGAGGTTTGTGTCCCTCCAAATTTCATATGTTGAAATATAGTCCCCAGTGTGGTGGTATTTTCATATGGGACTCTGGAAGGTGATTTGGTCATGAGGATGGAGACCTCATAAATGAGATTTGGGACCTTATAAAAGAGACCCTAGAGAAATCTCTTGCCCCTTCCTCCATGTGAAGTTATAGTGAGAAGATGGCCTTCTATGAAAAAGGAAGTGAGCTCCCACTAGACACTCAGTATGTTGGAGACTTGATCTTGGACTTCTCAGTCTAGCACTGTGAGAAATAATTTTCTGTTGTGTATAAGCTAGCTAGTCTATGGTAATTTTATAGCAGCCTAAAGAGACTAAGACAAGGAAGTATAAGAAAAGCAACATGGGGCTTCCTTATAAAAGATCTCATGAGCCAAATTCAGAAATTTTTATACTATCCTGTATATAGTAAGGATTTAATGGAGCTTTTCAAACAGAATAGTGAAAAGATCAAATTATTTTCAGAAACACAAGTTTGGGGGAAGAAAAGGGGTAAAATTAGAGAGATACTAAATATAGTAAGCCTAATTAGGATGCTAGTTCTAGAAAAAAGATAACAAGATCCTGAATAAAACCACTGATAGAACAAGACGAAAGAAACTTATAAAAGAGATTTTTAGGAGACAGACAAGGCGTTAGGACTTACTGGCTGAAGTAAACGGAGAGGAATAAGATGGGAAGGGTGATTTAGGTATGGCTCGGGTTCCTGAGCAAAAGGTGGTATTACTGACCAAGAGAATGTGGATCAGTTGCAGGTCAGATCCTTTTGGGGGCAAGAACGTTTTAAAGAGTTGAGTTTAATAATTGTTAAGTTTGTAGTTTTTAGTTTCTATATCAGATTGACAAGGCAAGATTTGAGGGGAAGTCTGGAAGTGCTGTAATAGAAAAGATCATGAATTAAAATAGTTTGAAAACTTGAGTACAACAAGTAATTAAGGCTTAAACAAGAATGTGAAAATCAGGCTGTGAAATTTAATACCAACCTTCACCTATCTGAAGTACTACTTTGTATCAGAGACTTTATAATGATTCTTTGCTATTCCACTTAGAAGTAGAAAAATGATCTAACTTTTTTCTATTTTCCCTGATACAAAATATAGAGGATGCTACTCAACATCCAGCAGCGTTAGTGCATTGACCCTTTAGAGCCAGAAATAGTATGCTTTATGTTGACTGTTGAGTATTACTGTGATTTCTGTTTTATCAGTTTTTAAAGCCACTTTAACATTTCAAATAATAATAGTAACCTTATGACTCTACCATGGCTAGCCTTATATTTTTACATTTGTGTGTTATGGTATAGCTTCCCCAGAGTAGTAATATTTAGAGTAGGAACAAACATAAAGCAACTGAGGCTGACTTGTTTGTTCTAATCATTTTTTATCTTTTTAAAAAGGTGTGTTTGGGGGGAAAAGTAAAGGCTTCTCATGTACTAGCATCAGATGGATTTGATACCAAACACTGTACTCCTTTTCACCTCAGGGCTGCTGATATTCTGTACATATTCAACTGCTGGCAATAGGCAATAGTAGATGCTGGGAAACTGTAATTCCAGGTGTGTGTTTTATGGCTTTATTGTAGTAAGTACATGGCTTAGCTGAGCTAATCTCTCAGATTTAAGTTTATGTTTGCTTAAAATGCTGACATTTCAAATAATCATGTAAAATTTGGAAGTTATAGCTTGTAAGAATTTAATCATAGGTGCAAAAGATAGAGACAACTAGGTCTATTGTCAGGTATCTATTAGTTTATTGATCTTCACAAATACAGAAAAAAATGACAGCTGTAATTTAAAGGTAATCTAAAATAGAACACTTAATAAGAGTTCTGTACCATGTATTAAGAAAGTATGTACTAAAAAAAATGAAAACAGGAACATATAGAGGACTGAAGTGATAAACTCATAGCATTGTGGTCCACTCTGGTTGTCTTTTTGTAATTAATTCTGATCATATTATCCAGAAATAGATTCAGATGTGTAAACAGAATTAATCTGATAACAATATTATCTTTAAGGCATTTTCAATACAAAGAAAATGAGCTATTTACTTTAAATCTATGTTTCTGTCACTGCATCTACACAGTGTGGTATAATAAAAATAAAACCTGTTGAGAATTCAGTTACTGCAATACATCTGATTCATATTCTTGATTTTCAATTTTGTTAACTATTATGATAGATTTTAAAGTAGAAGATTCTTAAAAATCATACAAGTGAGTCATACATGAACCAACCCAGTGGAAATTAAGCTTTTTGTGTAAGTTGTGTTCCATTGTTGATATTGGATCTGAAATAAAACATAATTACATTTTTCCAAATTATTTTCTCTCACATTTGGAATTCATCTGTGGAAACAAAGATTTCTATGCAGTCATAGAAGACCTCGAGAAAAGTGTCGAGAAACTTCTACAAAAGACTAAATTGACTGCATTTTAACAACCTATACCCAGCAAAAGCCTAGGGAAGCCTGAAACTCTACTCTGACAGAATGGAGATAGCACTCAGATCATCGAGTTTGTGAATAATTAATGGATTGGTGTAGAAATAATTAAAATCCCTTCCTAACCTGAGGTGAGTGGGAAGAAAAATCTCTATTATAGCATTTTCTATCTTCTTCCATCAGGGTCATGACATTATTAGAATTTCCATATACTGAAACAGACAGATAATGAGTTCTATTTGTTCTAAAGCTGAATCTGTTTTAATAAGGTTTACTTTTAGACTGTATTTTTGTTCGACACTTATTCAATATATATATATATGCTTCTTATGAAATATTTCAGTAACTTTGATCACATGAGAGTATTATTTCAATACAATTTATTTTGCTCATTTGGATACCATGTATTGTCTACTCTGTGTGAGGCATGTAAGATACAGGGAAATACAAAGTAAATTCCTACTCTCTATGATTTAACTGTCAAGAAGGGAAGATTGTGCAAATCTTCTATTATTCAATTATGATTGATTGTGCAAATCAATCATAACTGAATAATAGAAATACAATAATAGGGATACATAAAATTTTTAGTTATTCTGGGAAAGGGAATAAATAACTGCCTAGGAATAGAGAAAAGCTCAGTGAATAGTTAACATTTGAGATGAGTTTTTGAAGGTTAAATAGGAGTTTTCAGGAGAAGAAGTCAGAAAAGGGTGCTCCAAACTGACTATATGGAAGCAATAGAGATGTAAAAGAATATGGCCCATTTATTATTTAGGGTAAATGCTGAGTGCTGTTACGAGAAGGTTTAGAAATGTGGCCAGGCGTGGTGGCTCATGCCTGTAATTACAACACTTTGGGAGGCTAAGGCAGGAGAATTGCTAGAGCTCAGGAGTTCAAGACCAGCTTGGGCAACAAAGGGAAACCCCATCTCTACAAAATTAGCCAAGTGCGGTGGTACATGCCTGTAGTTCCAGCTACTTGGGAGGCTGAGGTGGAAGGATGGCTTGAGCCTGGGAGGCAGAGGTTGCAGTGAGCCAAAATCATGCCACTTCACTCCAGCCTGGGTGGCAGAGCCAGACCCTGCCTCCAAAAATCAATCAATAAATAAATAAAAATAAATTTAAAAATTAAAAATTTAAAAATTTAAAAAGTAGATATGCATATAAGTAAAAACAGAAATTCACTTCTCGCTTACATAAAATGGTGGCTTTTCTCATGCAATGATTTGGAATTAGGCTCCTTTCTTCGTGGGTTTTTCTGTGTCTTCAGGTATGGTTGCTTTCCACATCTGCCCAACAGAAGGGGCAAGATATCTTAAAAGGTCATATCTACTAGCCCAGAAATGGCACACTAAACACCCATTTATATTCCACCAGCTAGAACTCAGTCATATGGCCACGATTACTCACACAGAGTAGACAATACATGGTTTCCAAATGAACATAGTAAGTTGTACTGAGATACAGTCTCTTGTGACCAAAGTTACTGAAATGTTTTTGTAGGAATGGAATATATATTGAATAAGTGTCAAACAAAAAATACAGTCTAAAAGTAAACTTCTAGGGGAGGCTGGGAACTATAACGTAGCTTAACTACTATGAAAAAAAAAACTATTGGTAATTTTTAACAGTAATATTTCCTTCTTGCTTATGTCACTACAGTGAAAGTTGTCAAAGAGGCTTTGTTGCTTGCAGTCATTTAAGGATCAGCTTTTTTTCCATATGATGCTTCAACAATATCCTAGGACCTCAAAGCTTCTGCATGATCCTCTACAGTGGCCAGAAGACAAAGGGAGAGAGAATTATTTGAGGGACGAGGCCTGAAAGTTGTAGACAACCCCTCCAATCACATCCTGTGAACAGAACTTAGTCATATGACTCCAGTAGTCTCTGCTTTCCCCAGCTCCAGCTCCAAGATGGGGAAATCCTTCACCAACTTCATGTGCAAGAAGGACTTTCATCCCACCTCTAAATCTAATGTCAAAAAAATATGGAGGGAGGAATAGAAAATATTACATGGTAAGAAGAAATAAGAAGAATTAATGCAACAATATCTTTAAGAACAAGAATCGTATGATAATAGCTTGGTTATGGGATATGAATCTGTAAAGAATGGTCTTAATTTCATGTATGAAGCCCCACCAGAAGCTTAAAAAGTAGACAAAGAGAAAGAAGAAATAGAGGAGAGACTGAATACAAATTTGAATGGCAGAAAGGAGCCCTACAAGAAAAATATGCCAAAGATGACATGAACATCAGAGATCAGCCCTTTGGTATTCAGGTTTGAAATGTGAGGGGCATTAAATGTCACAAATGGGGTCATGTCAACAGAGATCAAGAATACACTTTGTTGGGTCTTTCTGGAATCAATGCAAGTTCAGTTCCCAGTGATGGCTCAGGGCCATCAATGCACCCCTCAGAGCCAATAGAGGAAATGAGAAACAGTGGATTTGCCCTGCAATGTAATGTACTGCAGAGAAACTTGACCACAAATGATCCATCACAGGAGTTTGCTGTAAGTGACACTGAAGAAGATCCAGAAGTTGAATTTTTAAAGTTATTAACAACCAAACAAAAACAGAAACTTCTCAGGAAATTAGATAAACTGGAGGAGAAACAAAGAAAAAGAGATAGAAAAAAAGAAAAAGTTTCAGAAGATCTGAAGTACACACAAAAAACATAAAAACAAATCCTCTTCTTCCTCCTCCTCCTCCTCTTCCCCTACTGAAACTTCAGAAAGCAGTAGAGTGAGAGCGACATTAAAGGAAAAAATATATTGAAAAGAAGAAAAGAAAGAAATGCAAGAGCTCAGGGCATAACAACAGTGATTCTGAAGAGAAGGACAAGCCTAAAAAGAGAAAACTTTATAAAGAACTTTCTAAAAGTTACCCTAAACTGGAAAAAAGCCAAGGAAAGGCCTGAGTTCTTAAAACACAAGAGTTCTAGGGAGAATGGCAAATGGAGCCATTCCGATTCTGACAAAAAGTCCAGAAGCCATAATCATAGCCCAGAGAAAAGAGTCTCTGAAAGAAAGGAGGGGAGCTGCAGAAGCCATGGCAGAGAAGATAGGATCTGGGGAAGCCAAAGCAGTTCTGTAGCTATAAACAAAGAGAGATAAGAAAACAGCCACAGCCAAGTCCCAGTGAAGAGTGTAGTAGAAGAAATGACACCAGAAGCCATGGCACAGATGTATACAGAGAAGAAAAAAATGTACAGAGTACCCAGGAGATACGCATAATAAAGTGACACAAAGAGAATGAAGCAGAATGAGAGACTAAAGAGAGACTCTATGTGATGATTATCTGGGAATAAAAATATCTCCACTTTTTAATGAATACCTTTATCATGGGCTAAATGATGTACTATTGTCTTTCTAATTAATAAAGCTCTATTTAAAAAAAAAAGAGGCTGGAAAGTAACATCTAGCTGTTTGCAAATTAAAACAGATATTTGTGTACAAGCCAGTCTTTGACTTTTATTCTCCACACATGGAACACGCTTGCTACTTCCATAAAAGAGACAGCCAATGCCTCATCTAGTCTCTGCCCCTAGCTCAGAGTCTAGTACCTTTAGGAGATATGCAGTCCTCAAGCACAAATGCCATGTCTGGTAGTTCTATATGAACTATAAGTCGTGTTTATTTGATCCCCTTTTTCACCAAAAAGTATATGTATGTTCTATGTATACACAGAGTGGAGCAGAATAACTATGATAACCATGCCCATTTGAAGAATGGCAGAATGGAAGTAGTCATTTGGCTGTAGTGTCTATGAAATCCTGTTGGGCCAGCTTGGTGAATGAAGGTTATTTTCCTGACACTTGGTAGAGTTTCCAAATTAGACCTTGACTCTGTTTTCTGGGAGTAACCCTTCATTTCCCATTATTCTCCACTGGGGATGTTGCCATCCTTTGGGGATGCTCAGCTTTTACAGCTCATTTACTTCTGGAGAAAGCTTGAGGAACTGAAATGTGTTTTATAGCTTGAACATTCAAAGGTTTTTTTTTTCTTTTACATTGTCTAATTGGCAACAGAAGTCCCTCAAAATTTTAGTGGGCTTCTGATTTATTTGCTTCAAGTCACTTTCATATGACAGTAACCACACTTAAAGTATTTTTCTAGACCTAGTTTTATCTCTGCTGGCTCATCCTCAAACGTCTTCTCTCAATTTGATAGGGTATCATGATGGCAGCTGGATAGACCTTCATGGAAAGGTACCTTTAATTTGACTTTCTAAAATATGGCTGAGTAAATCACTTCAACTGAAAAGTCTCACTGAGTCTTCAGCGCTCAAAGCCATTTTCTCAATCTCATCTTTTATGTCTCTTATTTTGGAGTTCAGAATCAATTGGCTTTCCCACCTTAAAAAAGCCTCTAAATTCCTCCTGTTCCTTTTTTGCTACAAATAAACCACTTATTTCTTGCGATCTTTTTCTTGTAATGCCTTTCGAAACTCATCCAATAGCAACCTATACTCATGAATAATGTTCTGTTTTTCAACCTCTCTTCATAGTTATATGTGTATGCTTGTGATCTGCCTTTCTAGTTATCATATTTTATTTTTACCAGATATTTTGCCATATTAAAGGATGGATCTCAACTGTCAGCCTTTTGTATCTGCTTCTTTGTAGCTCATTGCCCAACCACTCAGCCAATGACACATTCTTTAGGTTTTATTGCAGCAGCAACACCCCTCGATATCTGTGTTAATGTGGCAGGCTAAAAGTTATTAGACTCAACAATAAAATATCAACGGATTATCACATACACACACAAGACATCATTCTTGTTTACATCACAGTACAATGGAAATTGAGGGTGGGGGAGCTGCTTCATGTAATCATTTAGGGATCCAAATGCCTGTGATCTCATGGCTCTATCATCCCTCAGAGGCTCAGCGTCCTCCATTGTATAGTTCACATCTGGCCTGCAGATATTGTATTGTTCACATCTGGCTTCCAGGAAAGAAAGGGAGTGTGGAGAAGTAAGTCGGGCTTTAAGGACTAGGCATGGAAATGGCACATATCACATCTATGTATGTTCTGCTACCTACACTCAGAAACATAGCCCCACTTAATAAAGAGGATTAGATCATACAGTCTAAATGGGTATATGGAGAAAGATAACACAGATATTGTTTACAGTTGGCAAGTTTCTGCCACAACAAAAAAGAAAATGGATTTTTAGTGAGCAAATGGCAATGTCTGCATTAGCTCATTTCCAGGATGCTGTACTACTTAGAAGTTGAGCCTTGTGGGTTTTGCACCAATGGAGTTACTACTATAATTCAGACCCATCAGCTGTGCCTAAGAGTGGAAGGTGATTAAAAAAAAAATAAGTCAAGCCATTGAAGGTCTTTTATGCCATGGTAGAGAATTTGCTTTCCATTCTATAGTAACTGAGAATTTTTTTGAGATCTCTTTTGTTAACAATAGAGTGACACAATCAAATTTTCACTATTAAACTACAGCTCTAGAAATGTAAAAGAAAGAAGGAAGCTAACATTAATTGGACATTATTTAGTGCCAAAAATTACCTAGGTTTGATTTCATTTAACTCCAGCAGCAGCCTTATAAATTAGATAATTTTATTGTGTCCAATTTCTACAAGTGAGGAAAGTTCATAAAGCTTTATCTTTTGTCTACAATAAGTCTCAAAGCTGATATGCCAACTGAGAAATATCTGACTCCAGAATCCATGTTTTTTTCAATAGATAAGCAGATTAATTGGAGGTGATACTAGAAACATAAAAGCCTTTTAGAAAATTGTTTCAGCATCTCATGCAAGTAAAGAAGAGAGTACGTACCAGGCCAGAAGTGTGAGGACAGAAAAAAACAGCAACCCATTTGGGACATAACTTGAAAGCATAATAGACAAAGCCTGGGCATCTATTGAATGTGAGAGGCAATGGGGAGGGAAGAATTAAGAATGTCTCTAGTCTCTTGCTTAGGAAAAAGGACAATGAAGAGCAGAAGCATGTTTATGGAGCTGAAAAAAACAGATCTTAAAATAAGAAAGAAGTCAAAGTGGAAATTTTACTACTGTGCTATGAAATTTAAGGAAGATCATTAGCAAATTCTCTAATATCTTCAATGTCTCCAAATTGTCCCTTCACCTTCTTGCTTTAATAAAAATGCAGATGCCTTCTGTGAACCTCATTTTCCTTGAAACTCCTAAAGTAAATTCTGATTTTCCGCTCACAGTTCTTGGACCAGTAAATAAAGTAAGTGTCCTTGTTTCTCACAGTGGATCCCAGATCATTTCCCTCCCTCTTCCCTGAAAGAAAAAACAAAAAGCTTTAAATTCCATATCTTCAGAGTAGTTCACTACTAGCCCTGCTTATTACTGTCATCTGCTGTTACCTGATGTATTAATCAGCTTTTGCTGCATAATGCTGCATGACAAACAATCTCAAAACTTAACAGTTTACAAAAACAATCATTTGTGTTCCACCTACTGGTCTGTGGATTAGCTTTAGCTGGATGGAAATGAGCTAAACTCACTTGGGCTTAGAACCAGGTTATAGATTAGTTTCAGATCTGCTTCACATGTCTTCACATTCCAAATCCCAGGCTGAATGAGCAGCCACCATCCCAGCATGCAGTTCTAACAACAGAGGTCAGTAGGAGCTCAAGAGGAATGGCTACATCCTGTAATAGCCTTTAAAGCCTCTGTTCAGAACTGGCACATTTTCACTTATCGCTACATTCCCTTGGCCAAAGAAAGTGACATGGCCAAGCCTAATATTTACTAAACAATAATAAAATCTGCCACAGTGGGTCATGACTCCTCATTGATTAAGTGTTTTATCTCTTGGATCCCCAAAACCCTCTCATGTTGATTTCTTTTATTATGCATTAGGTCCTGGGGTACATGTGTAGAATATGCAGGTTTGTTACATAGGTATAAACTTGCCGTGGTGGTTTGCTGCACCCATCAACCTGTCATCTACGTCAGGTATTTTTCCTAATGCTCTCCGTCCCCTAGACTCCCATCCCCCAACAGGCCCCAATGCGTGATGTTCCCCTCCCTGTGTCCATGTGTTCTCATTTTTCAACTCCCACTTATAAGTGAGAACATGCAGTGTTTGGTTTTCTGTTCCTGTGTTAGTTTGCTGAGAATGATGGTTTCCAGCTTCATCCATGTCCCTGCAAAGGACATGAACTCATTCTTTTTTATGGCTGCATAGTATTCCATGGTGTATATGTGCCACATTTTCTTTATCCAGCCTATCATTGATGGGCATCTGGGTTGGTTCCAAGTCTTTGCTATTGTGAACAGTGCTGCAATAAACATATTGTGTGCATGTGTCTTTATAGTAGAATGATTTATAATCCTTTGGGTATATACCCAGTAACAGGATTGTGGGGTCAAATGGTATTTCTGGTTCTAGATCCTTAATGTTGATTTTTAATGTAATGGTATGGGCTTTATAATTATCCTTTCAAAATGATAATTTCAAAACTGAGGTCTATCAGTTCTTTAGACTACTTTCTTCCTTTGGAATTTGTTCATTCCCATAATCAATCTCTAGACCCACTACAAAATAACAATTTCAATTTCAAGCTTCCTATTCAACAACTTCTTTCTATATACATTTTCTCTGTATACATACATACATGTATACATTTTCTCTCATCTCCTCCCATAATTCCTGCTTACTACTTTCAATATCTTGTGTTTGGCAGAATAATGACCCCCAAAGATGTCAATGTCCTAATTCCCGCTGTTACATGACAAAGGGAAATTTAAATATTAGACAGAATTAAGTTTACTAATTAGCAAATCTTAAAATATGAAGATTATCCTGGAATATCCAGATGGGCTCATTGTGTAATCACAAGAGACCTAAATGAAGAAGGCAGAAGAGTAAGAACCAGAGAAAGATATTAACAGACATTGCTGGCTTTGAAGATGAAAGGGGGCCATGAACAGGGAATGCGGGAAACCACTAGAAACTGGAAAAACTACAAAAATATATTTTTTCCCTGGAGCTTTCAGAAAGAAACTTAACTTTATCATCACCTTGATTTTAGCCCAGTGGGATGCATTTTGGAGTTCTGACATCCAGGATTGTAAAATAATAAATTTGTATTTTTATAAACTATTACATTTGTAGTAACTTGCTACACAAGCAATAGGAAACTAATAGACATCTTAACTCAAAACTCCTTTAACCCCAGAAAAACAATACTTTGATATTATCACATTTTTACTGTCCCTCACTTTCCTTAGGGCTTCATCTTATTCACACAATTTATCAGCTTAGATTCTACGGCCAGACATTATAATAACCCCACTCTGTTGCTTTGTGATACCTCACTCAGTAAAACTGAAAACACTATCTCTCAGCCCACTCTAAGTCTTCACTTACATGCCAGAATGTGACAATGACAGTGATTATGCAGAACACAATCACCTTAAATTCGCTGTGTCTTTCATCAAGTGGGTCTCCAATACTCTCCAGCTAAAATGCCATATTTCCCTAATTCATTCACTAATCCACATTCTGAATAACTACTTTATATATATTTCTCCTCAAAACTCCCACACCAATTCTCCCATTACATTAGGTCAATGACCTTGTTTCATTAAATAAAAGGAAACAATCTGAAGGTTACATCCACACTCTCCCACCTTCCCACATGTGTGCCCTGTGTTTTTTCTCCTATTGCTATGGAGGGTATGACTGTGCTTTTAGCTAAAGCCACATCTTTCACTTGTACTCTATGCCTTGTCTTCTTTAACCCACTCAAGGATATCAATCAGGAAGTTCTCCAGTCTATCTCAAGTCTTAATTTTCTCTCTCTACAACCATTTCACTTCATATATAAACATAATATCATTTCTTCTGTATTAAAAATATTTACTTGCCCCCTCAGCCTTATCCAAGGCCTCCCATGTCCTTTCTCTTAGCTAAACTTCTTGAAAGTCTTGTCTACAATCATCGTCCTCTATTTCTTATCTCAAATCCCTCCTGCATTCTTTCTTGAACTCATGCCATTATTTTCCTCAAACACTAAAAAACAATAGGTTTTGTTAAGTCACCAAAGGCCCTGTATTCCAAAGTCCAAAGATAGTTATCAACCCTCATTTTGTTTGACCTATTAATAGCATTTGATTCTTCAGATACCTCTTTCTTCTTTAAAGTAATTTTTTCACTTGGATTCCAGGTCACCATCTTTTTCTGGTGTTCCTCTTTTCTCAGGGAGAGCTCCCTCTCTATCTCCTTTGTTGTTTTCATATTCCTAATCTCTAGAGTGTAGTGTCTCATATCGAACTCATGGGACTTCTTCTCTATTCATGCTCACTCTCTTAGTGATCTCATCCAATCTCTAAGACACCAAGCTGAAAATTTTCAAATTTACGTGTCTACCCAGGAACTCTCCCCTGAACTCCAGCCTCTTATATTCAAGACTGTCTACACAACATCACGATTTGGATTTTTAATAATAATTTCAAACAAAATATTCCTCTTGACTCTCCCTTTCCCTGATACAAGCACACACATACATGCACACACACCCCAAATATGTTTCTTTTGAACTCTTTACGTATCACATCTCAATAGTAACTCCACTCTCATGGTTTCTTGGCCAAAACTTTGTGTGGTAATATCAATTCTTCCCTTTTGTTAATATCCATATTCTGTTGTTTCTACTTTCAAAATATGTTCAGATTGTGACCAATTCTCCTTTATGTCTACTGCAATCTCCATGGTCAGAGCTTGCTTGGACATGGCAGTAACCAACTAACTGTCCTAAGCTTGGCAGCCATCAACTGGCTTCTCATTCTACTCCATGAAAGTCAAAGTCAATGATTTTGACTGCTTCCCCAAAGCCAAGTCTAGCCCATTTGAGCCTTTGTAAAAAACATTATAAACTTCCCCCTCCTCTAGTGAATTCAGCTGCATCTACCTAGCACATGGCAGAATAAGAGTCTTTCCCATCTACCCAATTTATGTTTGTGACTCTTCTCCCCATCCCCACCTCAGCAGAACTCACTTAGTCTTTTCCTCACTTTACATACATAGCGTAGTACTTTTTTTTTTTTTTTTGGTTATTTTCTCTCCCTTCTAGAATGCAAGGCCCATGAGGCTATATATGCTTCTCTGTCTTGTTTAATACTCTATTCCTAGTGCCTAAAAAAAAAAGTCTGATACATAGCAGGGGCTCAATTATGTTTCTTGAATTAATGACTTGAATTAATTGTATTTCCTGAGCAAGAAAACCTAACATAGTTGAAATATAATGAATAAGATCACTCCAAATATTTAGAATGAGAAAACTTTTCCATCAAGACAAGGAAGCACACTGAGAAGGAATAAATATAATAAAATATGTGACTTGATTCCAGCTCCCCAAACTCAAAATAAATCAATTGCTTCATGAGGTAGCATAAATCATGCCAATAATTATTAAAGTCATCAAATTACCTCTAAAATATATTATACAAGGACTGTGTATGTGTTATTGTGTATATGTTTGATGGGGAAGTGAAAAAGGGAAAGAGACACTAATGAATTTAGTTTTACCTTCAAAGATCAGATGCTTTTTGGAATTCACTCCAACTGATAGACTAGCACAAACATTTGGAAAACCTCAGACTAAAGAAAACTTAAAAAAATGCTCAGTTTTATTCTTGTTTATCTTTTCTCTGATTGCTGTGAATTTCTCACAAAGTAGAAAACCACAAGTAGTGGAAATATATGTCAACAGCTCAAAAATCAAAGCAACTAGTGCTCATTTTGAGAACAAAAAATAACCCCTGCCATATCATTTTCTAAAATCTAAAATTTGAGCTATATTTACTTTACTAAAATTTTATTCCTGTGCATCAGGGGATCTTTCTGGTGCTTAATTCCTTTTTAGATGGTCACTTCACAGAATATTTTAGTAAATTCACTTAGAAAAATCTACGCTTTCAGCCGGGCGCAGTGGCTCACACCTGTAATTCCAGCACTTTGGGAGGCCAAGGCGGGAGGATCACCTGAGGTCGGGAGTTCGAGACCAGCCTGAGCAACATGGAGAAACCCTGTCTCTACGAAAAATACAAAAATTAGCCAGATATGGTGGCATGTGCCTGTAATCCCAGCTACTCAGGAGGCTGAGGCAGAAGAATCGCTTGAACCCAGGGGGCAGAGGTTGCAGTGAGCTGAGATTGTGCCACTGCACTCCGGCCTGGGTGACAAGAGCAAAACTCCGTCCAAAAAAAGAAATAAAATCTATGCTTTATGCTTTCAGTGCTCTTCTATTTTCAGCACATAGGAAGTATCCTGTCTTTTTGAATGTGTTTACAACCTGAATATGTCCAGTACACTGGAACTTCATGAATCGAAAGGCAAAATTATCCAGTTACACAATAGTATGCATAATTTATCAGATCAGCTTCTTTCTATGGAGATAGTCGTGGATTCTCTGTTCTATACTGTCAATTCCCAGGTTTGTATTATTGGCCATTGTGTTATTATTTGCTGAAATGAATTTTAAAAGTATGACTCTCTATCCTATGACATTATAGTCCAACTGCAAAAATACCAATTGGCATGAACAGCATGCTCTGGTTGTTTATTCACATGGAACAGCCTGCTCTGGCCAGGTCTTTTCCTTGCCCTTTCCATTTGTCTAACATTTGTCCTCTTCTACTAGCCAACCTGCATAAAATTGATTACTTAGAAATGGCCAAATGATGTTCAGATTATATAGAGAGAAACCCAGCAATTGTTTTTCTACTTAAAATTGTTCATTGGACAAACGCATTAGAAAAGACATTATGGGGATAACTGGCAAAATTTAGGAGTGGACAGAGTATTGGAAGACATCAAGAAATTATTATTTTCAGATGTGATAATATTATTTTAGATGTATGTGTTCTTATTTTTGTACAGATGCACATTAGAAGTACTTAGAGATAAAATGTAATGATGTATGTAATTTATTTCACAATAATTAAGCAAATAAAAATGAAATTATAAAGTGAAAAAGCTATCAATGTCTGAAATATCACTGATGATTTACATTAACACTTATATTGGCATATATTATTCCTGTTGTTAAAAAAATTACTAAGTAGCAGTTATTGAGTGCTTATTATGTGCCAGGCACTCTGGTAAGTATTTTATATGCACTATCACGTTGAATTATCCAACAAACTTATTTGTTGGGTAATATTTCCCTTTTAAAAATGAGAATATTACCTCAGAAAAATTAAGTTATTGTCCAATGTGACAGTGTTTAAAATATCTTACACAGAAGCAAAAATATATTCTGTCAAGATAAGGCAAATTAAAATAATTGAAGAAAAATAAATGAAGAAAATTTAGTAATAGAAAAATAAAGTAGAGCCAATAGTGAGTTTGGCAAGATAATTTAAGGCCTTGAAGTGGTATATACTTGTGAAATAAACTCCATAAATTTGATTCTAAGTTTATGAGCAAACCACACAAAGAAGAAAGCACTACTAGTTACAAAATTCACAGCATTCTGAAAGTTAAGAAAAAATGTTTAGTAAAAGCCTAATTAACACTGTTTCCAAGATGAGCTCAGAGAACAGTTTCTATTGATTCTGAGGACACAGGTTAATAAATAGAAAAGATCCTTTGGACCAGTGATATTCAAACTTCATTGTTCATAATAATTATCTACCTTTTTGCATTAATAAACTTTTTTAGAGCAGTTTTAGGCTCACAATAAAATGGAACAGAATGTCCATTTTACTTTTTCCAGAAGGTCATGTAGTTGAAATCATACATTATGTAGCCTTTCAGATTGGCTTCTTTCACTTAGTTATATGTATTTAAATTTCCTCTGCATTAATCAAATAATTTTATGTATAGAATTCCAGGCTTCACTACCAGAAATTATGCTTTGGTAAGTTTGAGATAAGGCCAAGAAATGTGCATTCCAGAGGATTCTAATACAAAGGTACATTTATCAGTTTTTGAGAAACACTGTTCTAAATGTCCTAATAATAAACACATGATGCTCTTTCCTATAGAGTCAGTCATGCTCATGGCAATATGCCAAATGCAATCAAGCAAAATAAATGATGTGTTACATTTATATATAATATAATACAGTTTCAGGGCATAATTTTCTGATAATGTGGCTATTAAGATAGACTTGTGGATCATGAGGTCAGGAGATCGAGACCATCCTGGCTAACAAGGTGAAACCCCGTCTCTACTAAAAATACAAAAAATTAGCCGGGCGCGGTGGCGGGCGCCTGTAGTCCCAGCTACTGGGGAGGCTGAGGCAGGAGAATGGCGTGAACCCGGGAAGCGGAGCTTGCAGTGAGCCGAGATTGCGCCACTGCAGTCCGCAGTCCGGCCTGGGCGACAGAGCGAGACTCCGTCTCAAAAAAAAAAAAAAAAAAAAAAACAAAACAAGATAGACTTTAGAGTATCTGGGTGTGGAAACTAGGGCCCAAAGGATAAAATGAGAAGGGCACATGTGCCTTGTGTGGCCAGCACAGTGTTTTACAAACAAACAAATCACATTTGATAAATGCCCTTGGGAATTATTCATGCTCTTGATATATATTTTGTGTGTATATGTATATGTACATGTATTTGTATATGTATAGAAATATGTATATGTATAGAAATACAGACTAATCTACCTTTACTTGAGTGGGCCCCTAAAGGCCTTTGGGCTTGCAACCTCAATTATAGCAATGGTTTTCAGATTGTTCATTGCACAGCTGGGGGTCCCACTAAAGACAACATGGTTCAATAGGAGTCCCTGGGGTAAACTCTTCTTTAAATCCATTTTATTTACTGGACTGTGTGAAAAGTCCCATTTGATAAAAAGGTTCTGCTACTTTAAAAGATGTTTGAAAAATATAGATTTAGTTGAAAGAATGGATGATACAATCTTTATGCAGTCTTCTATAACTACTGTTTATCTCAGCCAAGTTTTTGGAAGCTATTGACAGATAACAAGGTCAAGAGTATATTCTTAGGAAGGACCTTCATATAGTCACTTTTACTGTGGGAGTTGAGCGCAGTGCTGTATGCTTCAACAGGCAGTTTTGCTGGGAGTAGGCTGCCATCCTCTTGTAAAAATTAAGAATCCGGAAAAGGATATGTAGCTGACTAGGTGAGGGCTGCTCACCTTTAAGGTGAGCCAGGTAATACCTATTGATAAGAATAAAGTTATTATCAAGCAGCAATTCCAAGTGTGCTCTTACATAGCAACAAGTGAGCAAACAAGCCTTCACAATTCCAAGCTATGAAGCATGACTGCAACTTAAATCATATAAAAATGCCCAATAAGCCATGAATAGTACAAGATGAACCTCCAGGTAGTAACTGCTGCCTGCTAAAAGTTAAATAAAAATCTTGCCTGATATGATAATTTTCATTTTGGAATATTTTAATTGTAGCTCCTCTTTCTGCCAGGGAACAGGTAGTAGGAGCTACTTTCTCTTAAGACCCCCTATTCTGTCCTGGTAATAAACTAATTCATTTTCATACAAGAAAATGCTTATCTTTCAATTATCTCTATCTGGGGATATTCACTTAAAGATGTAAAATATTTGTAGAGTGTGTCAAAAAGAGGGGAAGAGAGAAAGAGACTGACCAGGACACATCTCTATTTTCTTTCCTCTGGAAGGCATTAATAGGCTATTCCAATTGACTTTGATTTCCTTAGTAGTTCTGTATTACAATGTAAATCTTTATACATTGTAAATCAGTTGATACTAATCAGTGAGATATAATCCTTAATAATCTTTATCCACAGATTTAAAGGCTGAAAAAACATCAGTGAAGGCTATAGTCTTGGATTACTATGGAAATGTTTGGCGATAAAGTGATATAAAATGTAACAGAGGTTAGTCCTGGAATAGCAATACATACACACAGCCTATCGTTCCTACAAAATGTTGGCCTGAGATATCCAGAGGTTTACTAAGCAAGAAAATAGCATATATTTTACATTGAAATCTTAATGGATCCATAACTTGTGTGAAATAAAGAGCTACCTTTTAAAAAACTAGGACGATTTACATTCAGAGTTATACCAAATAAGAGAAATAGTGATAAAAGCAACACAGTTATGAAACATCCTTAAATAGTCATTAAAGAAAGAACACCACCACCACCACCAGCACCTCCCCCACGCCGCACATATGAAATGCTACTTGGCTCAATCTTATTGTTTCTACTCAGCTACTATGTAAGTAACAATCAGAGTGCAGCCAAGAATCTGGCAATTGGTATATTATACTGAGAAAATTAAATCACTCCTGTGTGAATTTGTATCTGAGCTTCAACAGCTTACTCACCAAGTTCGTGTTTGGATGACACGAATCCTTATCTGTCTTCCTAACTAGATATAGCCACTAAGTTTGGGTTTTTTCCTACAAAACTATTTGTAACTAAATTACATAGTAAACATGTACATTTTTACATTTAATCAGACCCTGAATGATTGCTTCCAGTTTTTATCTTTCTCCAGAGTTTACCAATCTGGTTGGAAGTTTTTCAGCTGCCAAGTGTTCGTCAAAAGCAAATACTAAACAAAAATTTCCTAGTTTCCGGGATATTGAACAGATAAAATGAGTTTAGGTTATTGACTCTCTATAGTGGTGAAAGAAGGGAATCTACCTCAAGTTCCTAGTTTTCAGTGGTCTTCACCGAAGAGTAGCAGTAAATCTCAAATATGACCTGAAAGCACTTGTCCCTGTTAGTATTTTCTGTGCCCCATCCCTGTCTTTCTCAATTCAAATCTGTATACAGAGAGACCCAAGACTTTGAAAAAAATGTGCTAATTAAAATTATGCTTAAAACCACCCAAACCCCTTCATCTGTTCTGTCTCAAATAGGTCAGTGTCAATATTTTTTGTTTTTCAAAATAATAGAAGAATATTCTTGCCAAGTGTTTAGCACACCGTTGTTATTCAATAACTATGTGTTGATTAATTAAGTTGCTGAATACATGAAAAAACTGCAGTTAATCTGATTATCCACATTCCAGTGTATGCAAGATTTTCTTATATTTTAGGGAAAAAAAGACAAATTTATATTCCTAAACTTCACAAAACCCAAAACATTGTTTGAAAAGCAAAAGGCAAAACTAAGAACAAATGAGTAAACTCTTTGGTGTAGGTGTTTTTGTAAAAAGAAAACAAAAGTGTAAACAGATTTCCTAAGGGTATTAAAGCCTCGTACATACATTTTGTTTCCAGTTTTATGTTTGTTAGTGATTTCTTTTTTGTTTGTTTTTGTTTTTGTATTTTTCCTGATTCGCTTTGTGTTGGAGACTATCTGACATTGGAAGATATAGTCTTTCTGCCGTCATAATAGTCAGGTATTCAGTATGAGCTAGATTTATGTTATGGAGTTTAACTCCTGCATCAAACATATAAGGAAATTAAAAATGTAAGAAAGTGATTTGTTCCAGATCACTGAATTTATTAGTAAGAAAATTATTGATTTATTCCACCCTATCAATAGTTTAGTGCTTTCTATTTTTTAGTGATTTTTAAACTTTTTAATAAAACTATTTTTATTAAAACCATTTTTTCCCTTCATGGTTAATAGAGAAGTTTCACTTGATTTAACCTCTTAGTGCAATGACTGTGTGAAATAGTGATATGTTCTGGTAGCATAAATCTATTGTTGCAGAGAATTATATTATAATTTATTTCAAAATTTTCATGCCAGTCACCAGTATTGTGTTCACTGCATTGCTCAGGGTTCTTTCCCTTATAAACAACAATCATAATAATAATAACAACAACAACAATCATAAGCCTATCTTAAACTAACTTAAGTACACAAATGAATGGATTAACTCATGCACCTAATAAAGCCAGATCAGGTGCAGCTGGATCCAGGGAACCAGAGCCATTGAGTCTAAAGCTCCTGTCCTATAACTTTAGCAATCCTAGCAGAATCTGAAAAAATAGCTCCTGCTTGGTTTGTGTTCTGATCCCTGCACTTGTCACTGTGGGCAGGAGATGAATTACTCAGACTAACCAGTCATGGGTCACATGCAAATCCCTGTCACTGGAGGAAAGAATTTAACCCACCCAAACTACATAGAACCCCCCAATAAGGAGGTGCTTCATTGTCAAAAGATTGAGGAGGTGTGCTGAGTAGGAAAACACACACACGTGTGCACACACATACATACACACACAAAGGTGTCTATCCCGGTCCCTTTTCAAATTTTTTCAATATGGCTTAGTCTAAATTATCAAACTTATTTGGGTTTTGAATAAGAATGCAGTCAATATTCCTCGGCAGAATACACACTGTCTTCTGCTGACAGAAAAACTACAGGCCCGAGGTTCTAATTTCCACTGACATTAATGACTTTTTACAAACATTCATTTACACTGGCTATGATTTACTATACCAGCACTAATAGCTCTTTAAGATTCTTTTAATTGTTAAAATACATCTAATTATGCAATATTAGAAAATCAACCAAACGTTGACTCAGCTAAACTCTAAAATATTATGGGGAAATATCTGCAATAACTGGTTATCTTTACTATGAACAACATATCTTTTATGTTCATTTTAAGGTCCTAAATATAGTTATGTATAAGCAAATGATATTTATTTACTTAGTGATTATATCCTGATGAATTAAGAAACAAATATTTTCTTGCAGGGAGAAACCTGCAACCAAACAAGCAACTACAACAAAAAGATTACAACTGAAAATTTTTGGCATATTTATACAACTATGTTGAAAATTATAATACTGTTTTGAAGGGACGATACAGAGATACAAATTTACATGTCTTAAAATTGAATGAATTCTTCAATGTGAAAGATCTCTTAGAAACAGCATAAATAATAACTCTTTTTTAGCTCTTCAAAGGAAATAAGATTTAATTTGTCTCTCCATTGGATGTCAGTATTGTACCACTAAAATATCACTGCCAGCTTTACCTTGCCAAAAAAAAAAAAAAATGAACTGGACACCTTACTGATGAACTCAAAAGTCAAGCTGTTTTACATAATTTTACCTACAACTCAATTAATTATATCATTGTTGCTGCCTGGTGTATATGACTTTGTGATACTCTCTTTCAGCAGCTACAAAGTCCCGCTGGTTCAAAAATGAATGCATTTGAAAAACGACTTGAAAATGTCACTACCACTTTGAATAACCTTCAAAACTGCTTACAAGAGGTCAGTACTCTCTCTAGGTTGGTGTACAAGTGAGGATGATTAATTTTTTTAAAAGGATAATAATCAATTTTAAAAGATACACAGTTACTCACCTTGTATGCAATAGCCTATTTGTACATTTTGGAGGTGGTTGGCAGGAAGTTACACAATGATTTCTAAAGCTGCAAACTGACGTATATAGCATATCATAATATATTTATTAAGGACTAATGCAAACCACATTGAGTTATAGGAAGGAAAATGTATTCCCCAGTGCTTAGAATTTACCGAACATGAAGAATTCGAATGAGATTGTTTAGTGAGAAGGGGAGGAATTTCCATGCCTACCTCCCCAAACAAATAAATCACTGCTTATATCCTGGGAATGTTTCCAAATAGTCTATGTTTAATGATATAAAGAGTATTTATAACCGAGTTTATATTCACATGTCTTTTCTGTCTTACTTTTCAAATGTATACTTCAGACTGAGGCTGCGAATATCAAATATATGTTCAAGATAGAATACTAGGGTACCAAGGTCAGTTGTCCTTGCATTGTTCTTTTACGTTTTAAGCCAACAGCAACATTGCTCCACTGAATGGTTACCTTGTATTCATCCATAAACAGCCCAGAATAATCCATAGAACAGCATAAGAGTAACTTTGAAATCATCCTTATTCCACTGCAGAATAAAAAGGATCAGTGGACTAAACAGAAAAAAGAAGACTTCCTGTCTTAGATCGGCCATCTGTTCAGGCCATTTCATTGAACACTTTTTTTGTTGTTTTTGTTTCTGAGTCAGTGTCTAGTTGCTAATTGATAAATGTTAAAAGCCTCACAAAATATGCACTTGGAAAAAGTGCTACATTGTAAAAGTGAAGCTGGATTTTCAGAAGTCCTTGCATGGTACATCTGAGATCAAACATATTTAGGAGAGATTTGAACACAATTACATTGAAATGAGAAAAGGAATAAGTAAAATGTAAAAAAAGCAGATACCTAAACTTGATGACAGGAGGTTTGAATGTCAATTAGTTTATCAGGTGATAAAACATATTAAAAATTATAGCCATTCATTCAACTAATATTCATCAAAGTCAGGATGGGGAAAGCATGCAAAAGTGTAAAACCTAAGCAAGAAGAAAAATGTCGCCCTAAACAAGATAAGGGTCCTGCTGAACATAAAACTTTATGTGACAAAGAAAATATCACCATGATAGAGTGAAGAAAGCATTATATAATAAGCAGTACTGGGACAATTATTTAAAATTTGGGAGCAAATTAATTCAGGTAAATATTTTACATCAAACACAAGTAAATGTAAGTGGATTAAAAGGTAAAGCTTTAAAAATGAAATAGCATACAACTAAAAGAAACTAGACCCAAATATTTTCAATATCCTGGAAGAGACAGAGGTGCCTTTGTACATTTGAAAACAAGGGGAGAACTCATAAAAGAAAAGACAGATAAGAAAAAAATTAAACTACCATGCAAAAACAGTAAAAGGCAAATAATACAGTAGGAGATATATCTGCCAAAATTTTCAAAGTTTATATACATTCTGAAGACAAATTTTAAATAGCAACAGAAAGTACAGACAGATATCTTTTTCTATTAAAGAAATGAAAATTCAAATCAAAATGAGATACAGACTTCACTTAGCAAACAAGCAAAACAAGAAAAAACAAGTTTACTTCGTAATAATGATGCATGGTAGAAAAACAAGTACTAGTGATATTGTAAACTATTAAGTCTTTTTGGAAAGCAGTTTGGCAATGCCTACCGAAAGCTATAAAGTACTCTTATACTTTCATCAATTCAATTTCAGTTCAGGACTCTATCTTAATAAAACAATGTGAATATTGCAGAATTAACAAACACAAAGATATTCCTGAAAGCATGTTTTCAAAACAGTCAACAATTATGTTTAGCTGATGTGATTATGCTCCATTTCTGTGTATAAGCACCACACTTGTTCTGATTAGGTGAATTTCAGTAATATATGAAAATATATTACATATAGTAATATATGGTAACATATATAGTAATATATAGTAAATATATACACATAGTAATATATGGAAATATATTTGGAAATATATAAGAATATTTAAATGAAATTCAAGAGAAAACTTGTGTATATATTTTCCATTTATGATAATCTATCATTATTTATATTTTTAAATGACTGAATAGACATGTCCTTATAATTACTAGCAGCAAATTTTGTTAACCTAGGCTTATTTTATATGTGTTTTAAGCAAAATAACATCACAAACAATGAAGTCTGATCTTTGCTAGGTTTGCAGGAGCAAAATTATCTATACTTTTAACAAATCAACTCAGATCTTTAGTCAGCATGTTTCAGTGGCACAAACGTGCTGGAGACTGCTAGGGAAAAGATACCACAAAACAAATTTTATCAATATAAAATTTTTTGCTGAGCACATAATCGGTACTCAGTAAATATTTTTTGAATTAATAAAAATAACTGACTATAACATTTTGATCATGTATGTCAAATATTTTATTGCTCATTTGCAGTGTGATTAACACAACGGAGCTTATCTAGTGTAAAGAAAACATATTTCCCCTGAGAAACTATACTAGTTTACATTGTTATGTACTCTCTTATTTCTCTGTCAGTTTACAGGCTAAGTCAACATAGCAAAGTGCAGGCTAAACATTTAATTTAGTCAATATAGACACAATAATGTAGGTAAATTAGGCTATGACAAATTGAGTCTGAATTTAAACACTAATTAAATTAACTGGATAATTAACAAAATTCCAATTTCACTTGTAATTTGTAAACAGAGTCTTAGAAATATAATTGTGACACTTTCCCCCTACTCCTTGGTAGAACTTTGTTCCAAAGAGTAAATAAAGCATATAGATGATCATATAAAAATCAAAGAATGTTTGGATTCAAAGAGAGACTGGGGTTTAATCCAATATATTCATTCTGAAAATAAGTTTCAGGCTTAATGATATCAAATAATTTGCCCCAATTTCTGCTAGTATATATATGTCTGAAGACAAAATTTGACAGTCTCCAGCATGTTTGTGCTGCTGAAACATGCTGATTAAAGGTCTGAGTTGATTTGTTAAAAGTATAAATAATTTTGCTCCTGAAAACCTAGCAAAAATTAGAATTCATTGCTTGTGATGTTATTTTGCTTAAAACACATATAAAATAAGCCTAGGTCAACAAAATTTGCTGCTACTAAGTATAAGGACATGTCTATTCAGTCATTTAAAAATATAAATAATGATAGATTATCATAAATGGAAAATATATACACAGGTTGTCTTTTGGCTTTCTTTTAAATTTTCTTAAAAGTCCATATATTACTGAAATTCACCTAATCAGAACAAGTGTGGTGCTTATACACATAAATGGAGCATATTCACATCAGCTAAACATAATTGCACGAAGAAATATATTTATATTATAAGCTACAGTTTTAAATTTTATTCTCTACACAAATTTCTCAGAATTAAAATGTAAAAATGTTTACTAAAGGTTGTTTATCTCTTTTCTGCCTACCCCTTTGTTCTTAACCATTTTAAGGTATCTTTGCTGAAGACAAAAATTACCAAATTTCTCCATTTTATTCAATCTCCAACTTATCTCAATGTCTCTCAAGATATATACAACATTGACATCTTAAAACTTTGAGAACAGTGAATAAATAAATCTACATTTCACCACTAGATGTCATCAAAGATCTGTTCATCAGAACATCAGCCATCCAGCTTTTGGCCATTTGACCTCTGCCAGAAAAATTATTGTATTTCTCAGCATAATCAGGAAACGATAATTTTAGTAAAATAGTCTATCTAATTCCTCAATGTTTAAATAATGAGTTTCCATATGCAGCAATATCTTAAAAATACATAAAAATAACCCAAATGTATATTAATAGAGAAGTTACTTTATCATTTCAAAACTCCCAATAGATCTAATTAATAGGCATTGCCAGTGTGAGAGTAATTTTATAATTTATATATATATTTATCAGAAATATACATGCATGTAATTTCTCTGCCATTTTTATTGGAAAATAAGTACAAGTTGTCCTCTTTCACTCTAAGATAACTCACCAGTTGGGAGGATTATAACACCATTAGCAGTTGAAACTGTTCATATCATTTGTAACTATTATTATCAGCCCCAAGATGGAGAATCTGATAATTGAGTTTACATGTTTAATTAGCTTAAATAATTTTAATATATACTTTTCATTCATTGTATTTATTCCCACAAGAAATAATAATGAAATAATTTGCTTCATATAGTTTTATGGTAGAATTCCTTTAAAAAGCAAACTTTCATGCAACATGTATAATTTTATCTGAAAAACCCAATCTAATAATCTACTTTTATTGCTTAGAGTAAGTTGATGTTCATCTGAATTGGCATACTTCCAAACTGAAAGAGAGCAGGAAGGAAACATTCATAATAAAATAAATAATGAATACATTCTCTTCAATGTAGACTTTTTCTTCATAATGTGCTATCAAATATCACTTTGGGTATTAAATATTTTCCCTGAATGTGCTTTGTAGTATCTTTTTTTTCAAGATAAAATGTAATATAATTGGAACCATTTTGATTAAGCATTTTTATTCTTTTTTTGAACACTCATTAATTATACTTTGTTTTCTAGGACCTGAATAATGTTTTTATTGCAAATTTCCCAACTTAAAGATAATCTCTATGTTTTGGAGAATACATTGACTATGACCAGGATGGAAAATTTAAATTCATATACTAAATCACCAACTCAATCCTTCCAAGAAAAAGAAAAGAAATCATATATTCCAAGGCTGTCATATATAATGCCGACTCAAAATTATGATATTTCTGATAGGTCGATCATACTAATAATTTACTTTAGTATGATATTCAGAAAAGAGTGAGCATGGTATATATTTAGTTCACTGCATATCTTCAGGTATATTTCCTGGCACACATTAGATATTCTGTATGTATCTGTTGAAGAAATGAATAAATGCATGAATAACACATGGCAGTAATCATGAGAAGAGAGACTTTGGCTTTTTCTGTACTAATCTCTAATTCTGCAAGTAATACCTATGCCACTTGTAATATTAATGATAGTAATATATTGGCAAATTTTAACGTAGAGACATATCTTATTTTTGCAGCTTATACTTGCAGGTAAGCAGAGATTATTATAAACAATTCAGGAGTGAAGAAAATAAGACAATTGACCAACTAGTCATAGCAACCGGAGATAAATTGAGAAAATAAGTTACTGTTTTTAACAAACCTTTCTTAGAAACTTTCATATGATATTCCATATTCCTTATAACCCAAATATTTTATAGTATTCAAGTCCATGTTGACAAAATGTAGGGGATGGCAGAAATTGTCATGCTTTTATATTGTTAACTTATATTTAAGGAAAGGATATCTATAAAATTCAGTTTTACCGACAGAGAGGATATATGAATTGCCCTGGCTTGCTCTCACACTTTATTGGGAATATGCCTTCTTAAACATTTACTTATTCAACAATATTTACTTACCAAGTACCATGTGCCAGGCATTGCTCTGGTCACTGAGGACTCAGCATTCAAAGATCTCTGCCTTCGTGGAGATTGCCTTCTCATTGAGAGAAGTAAACACAAAACAAGTAAAGAAAGAAATACATAAGTAACATGATTTTAGATAATAGTGAGAGTTATTAAGAAAGGGTGATCCGATCATAAACCACTGGAGAAGACCAATTTAAATTGGTTGATCAGGAAAGGCCTCTCTGAACAAAAGGCATTTAGACAGAGGCCTGAAGGAGAAGAAAGGGCATCCACATGAAAAACTGAAGAAAAAGTATTCCAGGAAAAGTGAACATGCACTGCAAAGACCTCTCAAAGGAAACTGGCTTAGCATATTTGAGAAAGAAAAAAGGTGCAGTAAGGCTGAAGTTTAGTGAGTAAAGACAAATGTGGTAGAATATCAGATTGAAAATACAGACAGTGGCAAGAACAGGTAGACACCCGTAGGCCTTGGTGGGATGCTTAGAAAACCCAAGCTTTTTGAGAGAGAAGTGAAACGACAGGTTTTACGGTTTTTGAAGAGGGCTTTGGTTGTTGAGTAGAAACTTAATATTAGAAAGCCAAGGATGGAAGGTGGAAGATCCTCCAGGAGCTTTGTGCAGTAGGCCAGGCAAGAGATGAGCATGGCTGGAGGTGGCAAGAGATGAAGTGTTTTAGGAAAACTTATAGGGGTAAAACCAATAGGACTTAATTATTTGATTGTATGTGAAGACTGAGAAAAATACAGCAGTTGAGATGTTTAAGTAACTGGAAAAATATTGGTATCATTTACAACGTGGAAAAATCTTGGGGGAAATTATGGATTCTGTTATGGTATTTTAAATTTGAAATCCTTATTACACTTAAAAAAGAGATGACAAGTAGTTAAGTTGGGAACTCGAGAGATAGATGAGAGGTAGAGATATAAATCTGGGATGTTAATGTACATATAATAATCAAAAACATGAGGCTCTGTGAGATTATACAGGGAGGAAATTAAGACAGACAAGAGAAGAGGGCCCAGCCCTGAGCCCTGCTCCATTTATAGGTCAGGCAGCAGAGGCACAGCCAGAAATCAAAACTGAAACAGTCACTGAAATATCAAAATAGGAGAGGGAACAGGAGAGTACCTATTTTAAAAACAGTAACAGCTTTCATTTTTTGAGAAATATCATGTGCTAGGCACATTTAATACTGTTTATGTGTTAGTATTAACTCCTCCATCCTCACAACAGCCACATGATATAGGTAAACATAAGTACTTAACTCCTTTTATAGAAGAGGAGACCAAGAAAGAGAAAAATTAAAAGCATTTTAAGAAAGGAAACTATGTCAAATATGCTGCAAGCTTGAGCTTGACTAAGACAAAGACATAAAAATGAACCTTTTATTTAGCAAGAGAGGTCATTGGTGATTTCAGAAAAAACAGGCTCAATAGGATGAATGTGTGAGTTCCACAAAAATGTGCTTTATAAAAAGTAGTAGTACCTTATTGAGAAGTTTTGCTATAAAAGAGAAAGAGAAAACATAAATTTGTTGGAAGGAGACACTATATTAAGAATTTAAGATATGAGAGATACCAAGAAATATTTTTATTCTTCTATTATCCTATATATGGAGATAAATTACATAGGAAAGATAGTGATTAATTACTGTAGCAAAACCTTGAAAAATCAGAATGTGATCCAAACTATAAATGGAGAGGAACTAACTTTTTGTGGGTGCTGAGACATTGTGTATTTTAACAGGAATCCGGGCAAAAAGAATATAAATACTGAAGCAGGGAAGGTGGGTAGGTTTGATGGTGAGTGTAAGAGGATGTTCATGACTATTTCTATTGTCTGAAAGAAATATGATGGTCATCATTTGAATATGAGAGGGAAGAGTGTAGAAAGATTAATGGAAAATGTTGGGTGCAGTGGCTCACACCTGTTATCTCAGCACTTTGTGAGGCTGAGGTGGAGAATTGCTTGAGGACAGCAGTTCGAGATTAGCCTAAGCAACATAATGAGACCCTCATCTCTAAAAATGGTTAAAAAAAAAAAAGTTGGCCATGGTAGCACATGCTGGTAGTACCAGCTATTCAGGAGGCTGAAGCAGGAGGATCACTTGAGACCAGGAGGTTAAAGCTGCAGTGCACTGATTGCACCACTTTATTCCAGCCTGGAAGACTCTGTCTCAACAACAACAATTTAAAAAAAGATTAATGAATTAATGAAAGAGAATTTAAAAATAGCAAATCTATTAAGAAAAGGTAAACAGATGGATAGCAGTGTTGAGAGGCCATTTAAGATTGCAGTCATAGGTATAATGAGCAAACCAGTCAGCACTGTAGTGTTCTCCAGCAGTATTCAGCTGTTCTGGTGCAGATGTACAGTAGGCAGATAGTTGGGTTTTCCCAGGGAATTTTGATGAAGAGCCACACCTGGGAGTTGGTGCAGTGATTAGCCCAATGTATAACATCTAGAAGTGTGCCTCTGCTGAACTAAAGTGAGATTTTCTTGTCTTCACTACCTGATTCTGAGCAGGAAAAATTACATTTTGTATGCATGATGCTTATAGAGCCATGACTTTCCCAAAGTCTGGCATTAGAGCAGTGTTGTATTTAACAAAGTTTGGGATTTCAATTTTAACTCATATTACATGAAATGAACCACAGCAAATTGTTCTTATTCTCTACCACTCTTAAACTCCAGGGGTCTTCCTTTCTTCTGGCCTAATAGGACTCTTTCGTTCATGCCACACGGTATTTTATATTTAGTCAAAATTTATCTTAGGCTTCTCAAATGATTACCTGTTGCTTGATTTCTTGAGTACTTAAGGTAATTATTTTTATGTTTTTCATTGTTACCATGGCTCTTTTATCAGAGAATTGGATGAAACTACCTTTGAGAATATTAATTGTACTAGAAATCTCAGCCTGGGCATTTCCCACACATCACACCTTCAAAAACCTCTTGTTTTCAAACTTACCATTAGACAGTAGGGTCTTTGTGCCAAAGACCATGTCTTTTTCAGCTTGGTCTCCCACAACACATAGTCCTGTGCCTAGCACAGAGTGGGTGCTCAGTACATGTTTCTCTGAATGAACAAATAAGTGTATTATCCTGCTGAGAAGTCTAAATAACATACACAGACAAGCACTAAGCAAGAAGAGAGAAGAAAATGAAACATTAACATGTGAAAATAGGTAGGTTTTTAATTGTGTTTACGACAAAAAGAGCATGGAATTAAACATTCTGTTCCAGATTACTTGGTGAGATGATTATAAAGTGATAATGTAGACCTACAATTGTTTGCATGGATATACTATACCAAAAATGTGACTATTCATTTTCTCACATCTCTTGGACCAGGGTTACTGATCGTGTTGTTTTCTTTATAAAAGCTCTTCCAGAACCAGCATCATAAGATACTAAAGACATAGATTCTGCAATATTGAAAGAGAAATCCAAGATAATTGTTTCATTCATAAAGAATCTTACAGGTAAATTTCACGATTTAGTAACAAAGCGGAATGTCCAAGCATATCATCTGAAAATGATTTAATAAGTATGAAGTAGTGTTTCCACATGACTTGCCTTATTCTAAATAATATTTATCCTTTAAATATTATCAAATACTATTATTATATAATGACTGTATGTTGCCTGCTTTTGACAGGGATACAGGTTATTATTTTGAGCTTTCTCCACTGCGTTAAAATAACATGTTTGTATGTGTTTCTGGTTTGGTTTTTAAAAATAACATCCTTGTTGAACTCTAATTCATATCCCATATATTTTAGCACATAGGTTATATATATCATATAAAATCAGTGAATTTATGCTTTAATTTATAAGGGCAACAAGAAAGGCAACTACTTGACAAAGATTCAGAAATAAGTTTATCTACGAAGGATCGAGAACAACTATTCCACTAGACATTCTCCAGAGGAGAATCAATTATTTAGTAAATCTCACAGCCTCTATTGAAAATATCCTGTGCCAGACACTAAGGATAGGTCACTGAGCCTGACAGATGTGGTTCCTGATGTGGAAGAATTTAAAGCCCAGAAGGGGAGGGGGGAAATACATGCATATGCTTAGTACTCAGAGAAAGCTAGCAAGGGGCTCTTATTTGGGTCAGAGTGGCCAAGAGTTAACAGTTAAATATATTTTGTCTCATCTTACATAAATTTAGCTTTATTTCTACCATAAATTCTCATCCTAAATCCTAACATACACAGATATAGAAGCAGTAGGATAAATAATGAATCAAAATGCTTCTTTTGTTCATTCAGCAAACATTTTATGTGGGCTTCCCATATCTGAGGTCTCTACTAGGTGCTGGGAATTAAAATTAAAAAGTCACTGACATGGTTTCTTCATGGTTAGTGGAGAAACTAACGTGTGAGCAATTATAACAACGAGCCATGAGCATAGAAAACCAGAAGAAAACTTGGGAGCAGGGAGCATAACTCAGACTGAGAAGTCTTTCTCTAAAAGATAATATTAGGGTTATGATTTGAAGAGGAAACATTTGGTCAAGGAAAGGGTGACGACAGAAGTGGGAAGAGGTGAGGAAAAAGATGGCAGGTAGTGGGAACTCAAGAAGGAAACAGAGATACTAAAGCTTATGTTTATTAAAAATAGCATAATACATATGAGAAATTGCAAATGACTATATCGAGCAGGTAGGAAGTGTAGAAAGTAAAAAGAAATGAGTTTGGAGATGCAATTAAGCACCAAATAATGAAGGGTGTTATGTGTCAGCCTAGGTTTTATCTTACTGTGACTAGGGAACTACTTGAAGACCTTGAGTAATTATAAATAGAATGACCACATTTGCATGTGTACACAGATAATTCAGTAAGTGGAAGGAAAATAGGTTGCAAGAAAGACAGCCTGGAAGCAGAGCAAACCATTAGGGAACAGTGGCAATAAGCCAGGAAAACATGCTAACCAGCTGCGTGAAGGCAACAGCAACAGAGAAGATACTCAAAAGATATCAGGGAGGTAAACTAACAAGACTTCGCTACTAGTCGAAGATGGTGGGTGTGGAAGGCATCTAAGGTGACACAAGGATTTACTGGCTTGAGTGGTGGTATTAATTCTGGTGTCACTATTTAAGAAAGGAAATGAGGAAGAGGATGAGATTAGGGAAACAGGGACAAGAATAGACTGATATTATTGAGTATATGTGCCAGCCACTGTTCTTCTGCCACAGTTTTAATTCATCTTTATTTGCTGCTGAATTTCAAACATGAATCTCCAACCAGGCTTTCTTTCTTGAGTTCCAGATTTGTATATCAAAATGCCTCCTAGATATTTTCACTTGGATAGCTTGATAAAGAACTACAGAGTAGAATCTGAAAAATGAGATTAGATTTAGGCACTAGAAGAGAATGTGTGTTGTTAATTTTTTGCTATATTATTATTTTTCACTGAAACTATAGAAAATAAGAAAAATAGAGGTATGGATACAAATAAGTTAGGAGAAGTGGCAGCAAGATGAAGAAACATCTTTGGGAATTATTTCTTTCAGTAAGTAAAAAAAGATAATCTGCTGAAACCAATGGAGGTAAATTGGCAAACTAAAAAAAACAAAAAAACTGAGGGGAAAATGGTGAAGGTTTGAAATAGCTACGGACAATAAGAGAGGGAGCCAAAATGGAACATATAAAATGGTGTGCAGGTATCATTGACAGTTCAACTAAGATGAGGACCTTGACCTGTGGGATTTCAATTTTAGTAGCACCAATCCACGTGGCTATTTGATTTCGGTAAAATTTCTGATGAGTCCAGGTACAGGAGTGGAGAACACAGGTGGTTATCCAGGATTGGACTTTTGCTTCATTGAGTGTAGCAGGAAAGTAGAGTCAAGTTTTGTGGGTGTAGACAATAGAACTGCTTAAGTTAGAGATCAAAGGCCCAGAGAGATTATCAAATAAAATGTAACCAGGAGGAATCTTTTAGATTGACAGGGAAAAAAAAAGGAGCAGTTATGAGCTGAACATTAATAGAGTGTAGTGGGAATGGGAACTGGAATGTTAAGAGGCTAAGAACAGAGAGGAAATCTTAGAGCAGAGTATTTCAGAAGTGGGGAGACCCTGGGTGATGCAAAGACCTAGGTTTGGAATGGAGTTGCTGACTGAAGAGGAAGGAAGGAAAAGTCAAGGGCTTGGACAAAACCGTGGGAACTTGATATTAATTTGTCAGATGGCCCACCCAGTATTGGAAGGACTTTCAAGGCCACTAGTCCAACCTCCTTAAACAGAAAAGTATATTAAGGTGTGACCTTCAATAAATGTTGGCCACAGAGCAGGCATCCTGAGCATGAAATAGTCACCCATCATAGAACATCCTATGCAAATGATTTAGCTTAAGTTCTCTAAAGCAAGTATAAAATAAGTCAGTGATAACTTTCTGATTTTTTATTTAAATATTATTTGTGTGCAGTAGTTTGTATTTCTTACTTTTGTTTTTAGAAGAAAATGGTTGACATGATTTGAAGGGAAGGAGCTTTTGATTCCCTCTTGGACAAAAGAACTTCAGCAAAAATCCTAGAGGGAGAAGCAATAGGGGATGTAACAAATGTTCTCTTAGAGTTGACATCTAAATGACTTCTCATTGTAGAGGCATGGAACCAATCTAAATTCTCCCACTTCATCTTGTGTTACCTATCAGTTAAATCCTATTTTTTTAATCCTCATATAAATGTAGCTCTGGGCTTAATATGGAAACATTTTTTGAATATGGATTAAAAAAAAATCTATGTTTGCAGTTTTTAATTTATTTGATTATACCATCATCTGCCTCTAGTGGAAGAAAATTCAAGGTTGTTTGCTTTCCTGGCCTCCTTTTCTCACTTTCTCTCCAAAATGAATCAGGATCAAGGAAGAAAAATCATTTTCTTTCATCCCTAAGGAGGAGGAGTATTGATTATTGCCAGCTCCTAGGATATAATAGACTCAATGAGCTAGAACAATCTAATCAAATCTTTGTAAAAGGGGTTAGAAGGTACTGTATCTGTAGGGGCTCCACACACAAACCTGAAACTTTTCCTAATTCTATTACTTTACAGTCTGTGTTATTTACCTGTTGGTAGAGAAAAGATAATGAATCTGAAAAGAGAGCTATTAAATTAATAGTCAAATGTCATGATTACTTATTTTACCACACTTCATTATTGCTCTCAGTTCCTTCAGCCATACAAAAGTTTGGTTTACCCATCCCTTTCCTTTCAAACATTTGGGAAGCTTTAGAAACCACATTTGATATAATTCTGGGATGTGGGTTTGGTATTTGGAATGCATACTTTTGTGAAATGGAGATTAATAAAAATAGAGTAATAACTACTCAAGCAAAACCAAAAATTGCAGGAAGAAGCAAGTGCTAATTGAATAATGTGTATGGCTAGAGTTAAAATCTCTAAAAAATATATGACATTTGGTTATTATATTTCTTGTATAGTAACTCCTTAATGTAGTAATTTCTCTTTCTATACCAGAGACAACATTATATAGTAACCCATGCACACCTATTTAATTCATGACTGCCTAGATAATTATAATATTATACTTACTCTGTCACAGTTATTTCTTTTTCTTTTCTGTTTATTTTATTTTATTTTATTTTTTGAGATAGAGTCTGACTTTGTTGCCCAGGCTGGAGTGCAGTGGTGGGATCTCAGCTCACCACAACCTCTGCCTCCCAGGTTCAAGAGATTCTCCTGTCTCAGCCTCCCAAGTAGCTGGGATCACAGGCATCCACCACCATGCCCAGCTAATTTTGTATTTTTAGTAGAGACGGAGGTTTCACCATGTTGGCCAGCCTGGACTCAAACTCCCAACCTCAGGTGATCAGCCCGCTTCGGCCTCCCAAAGTGCTGGGATTACAGGCGTGAGCCACTGCACCCGGCCTGTCACTGTTATCTTGAACACGCTGTCAGTCAGTACTCCTAGGCATTTATATTTATTTACTATGTTAAGTAAAAAATGGTTTATAAATTGTTGCAATTGCTGGATTCTTTTATTACCAGATCATATTCCTTTTCATATTTTAAGATGAAAAAATTATCATTTCTCTTCTGCAAACTAGCTAAGAAGAAGCTGTACACACTAAAACTGTTTTGCAGATTTCCTAAGCCAAGCATAAGTAAACTTGAGTGCTATCCTTTTGTCTATCTACAATTTAGCTTCAATAGAGAGCCTTTACATTACATCAAATCATCTGTAACACAAGAAGCTTAACACCAGCTGTTTTGAAAGTTGTGCCATATGGCCAGGTATCGAACACTCAGGAACATAAACAGGTATCTTGGGGAAAGTTACTGAATAGTTAATGCAAAGCAGATTGTGTTACAGTAATAAAGAGCCAAAAGTAAGTAAGACTGAGGTCAGTTAGAAAAGTTTTTTGTTGGTTTGTTTGTTTTTGCTTAGCATAGTGGTCACATCTGTTCATCATGTATACTCCTATCAGAGCAAACTACCTGCAGTTCCCCAATGTACCACACTCTTCCATAACTCAATGCCTTTGACCATAGGGTCATGCCTTCCAAAAATTATCTCTATGTATTTCTTTACCTGGTGAGCTTCTATTTTTTCTTTTTGACTCAACTGAAACAATCCCCAGGTGGAAACTTCTCTCACTTTCCTCTGTTTCAATGGCACATTGTCTGTACCTATATTACAATATATATTCCTTCGCTTATTGAAACTGCTTACTTGCTGGTTTTGTCCCCTGGAAGTCAGAAACTATGGCTTCTTCATCCCAGCATTTCCAGTATTACGTACAGAGCCTGGCACTTCGGAAACAGAAAACAATGTTTGTTTGTGTTTTAATAAAGGCAGTACTTAAAGCAATGAGATCAAGAGAATAATAAGAATACTGACAAAGGAATATTATTTGGTGGTGTTACAAATGAAGAAACATATGATTTTGTATAAACTAATAAATTTTACTAACTTAGGAGTGTAAGAGATATCAGTATGTTCAGAATTGTTAGCCAAATAAGTAGGTATCTTTTGATGTAATATTAAGAAATATTAGACAGAAGGTAGCAAATGAATGTAAACAAGGGAACTGCAAAGACTGTGATAAAAAGGCCATTAAAATGTAGCCAGATGGAAGTTTTTAAACAGTTTTAGGAGAGAAAGAAGATCCAATGAATATATCAAAAACTAGACTACCAGTGAAGAAGAATATTCCATTACAGTGCTTATGTTAAGGAATGAGGCAAACAGAAAACGAAAACACTAGATTAGATATAAAACATCATGAGGATACAGATCACAGAAGAAAAATTATTAAAGTAAATGATCAGATAGTTCAAGTAGAATGAAGAAAAGAGGTAAACTGGATGTTGAAAGAAAGGAAAGGAGCAACTGAAGTGGTAAAGTGATGTGCAATGAAAGCCAAGGTGGAAGCAAAAAATGATCTAGGTATGTTTGAGGACCGGAAAGAAGACCAGCCCCAGGAGGACAAAATGCTGTTCTGAAAGGTGTAGATGTTTGGGTTAACATTGAAAATTTGAGTTGAAATATACCAAACTTTTTTATTTTCATAGACCTTCAAGTCTTTTTCTATGGGCTGACAACAAAGCAAATGGTTATTTAACTTACAGTGAAATCCAGAGCCCTCTAGGAGCAGAGACACCCCAACAAGAACAACTGGAGCTATTTGATGCTGATAATAACAAGATGTACTCCTACTTGGAACTAATAAGAGCATTTGGGCTGACTGGTAAGAGGATTCAAGGGCCGGAATATCAATAATGGTCAAGTGACAAATAGTCTTGAACAATGTTCTGCATTACAGCCCAAAATTAACAGGCAACCCACATTTTCAATTGTTAGTTTATAATTGAAATCCAAAACAAAAGTTTATAGAAAAACCTGAAAAGTAGCAATAAACATGGCATCTCAAGCCATACACAAGGATAATTAGAGTTTTAAAAACTGACAATCATTGCTTAATTGCACGAATAAATGGGTTATTTATTTGCAGGCTATGGAAAGGCACATTATTTAGTCTCCTTTTGTACTTGATAATAGGATTTTAGGATGACACTCTTAATACTGTTAAACTTTTTTTTTTTTTTGAGACGGAGTCTTACTCTGTTGCCCAGGCTGGAGTGCAGTGGTGCGATCTTGGCTCACTGCAAACTCTGCCTCCTGGGTTCACGCCATTCTCCTGTCTCAGCCTCCCGAGTAGCTGGGACTACAGGTGTCCGCGACCACGCCCAGCTAATTTCTTTTTGTATTTTTTTAGTAGAGACGGGGTTTCACCATGTTAGCCAGGATGGTCTCGATCTCCTGACCTTGTGATCTGCCTGCCTCGGCCTCCCAAAGTGCTGGGATTACAGGCGTGAGCCACCACGCCCAGCCAATACTGTTAAACTTTAAAGCCTGAGTATTATAAAGTGGTGATGTAAGGCTACTACTCATTTAACAGAAATAAGAAATTAAAGCAACATAAATTGGATGAAATTTTAAGGAATCTAAAATACCTTTTAAAATTGTACTATTTCCCCCATCTGCTTTTTTTCTATTTAGTTTTCACAGAATATGTTGTAATTTGAACAGATTTACTGTACATATCTAGGGGCAGTTTCTTAACCAGTGAGGAACAGCAAACATACTAGACCTGGCATCTGAAAGCTGGTAGATAAATAGAACACACAACTATAAAATAAAATTCCATGTCACCTAATGCTAAATTTATTTATGATTGGAGAACAAAAAAATATTTAAATTTCTGTCATTTACCTCTGATATAAGAAATGATAGCCAGCAGAGAGATGTTCTGCACCTTCTGTCTTGATATGCACAAACATGTGAGTTGATGCCACCTACACTTCCAGTGGTATAGCCACATTCTCAGGTAGGACACCCATTTATCTTGAAATCTGCATCAATAGAACATGTATGACATAATGTGGCCCATATGCCTATAGATGCCTAGATATTGCCAAAGTCTTGCACTTGCCAAATTCCACTGACATCTTTATGTCTTACATTCAAGACCTTTAAAGGTCTTTGCTTGATTTTTGCTCCTTCCCACCTTATCTCTGATGAAATAATAATTTTAAAAAAGATGGATGACCATTCCAAAACATAGATTGCATAGTTGAGGGACCCACCTATCCAATTCAGATAAGCTTCCCCAGAACATCACTGAAATATACCAGGTGGAATAAAAATACATTTTGAAAAGTATGAGAGGAATTCTGGGTAGTGTTTGATCTGTAACCACTCACTGCTGCTTCCTTCCCAGGTCGTCCTTGCCTTTGCTATCCACACCTTTCTGTTCATTGTTACAGGAAAGACAATTACTGCTGCAATCCTAGCTTCAGATACATTTTTGAGTACCTGCCACCTCTCTGTCTTGGGCTTTTCTCGTGCTCTAGCAGACAGGTGGCTGCAGTTCTAGCACATTTTAACATTAGAGATATGAGTGATGTTACAGAACCAGAGACAGTACTCATTTTCTGGTACAAAAGGATCCTGTTAGGAGCACCAAGAATGAATGTTTGAGACAGGCTTCCACAGGGGAAAACCAACGTCTCTATCTGTACAAGGTAGTTGTCTAAAAATTTTAGCTGACCAAGTTGGGGATAAGAAGATTGTATGTGGCTTGATAGTTTAGTGATCATTGAGCTATGCCCCAAACAGTTCATTCAGTGCCATATCCAGAGCGTCACACAGTGCCCTGAGGGAGTGCAAACTCATTCAGTGGTAGCCCTCCTCCCAATACCCATAAGAAGCACCATATGCACATCCACTGTTTTTGATCTTACATCCTAAATGGCATTCATCTAGTACAGATCAAACATTTTTTTAAAAAAACAGCTAGATATTTTCTTAGTTCGCCTTTGTAAATTACAGTGTTGGAATTTATTTTATTTCCACGTTGTTAAAAAACAAAGGCATCTGGCTGGGCATGGTGGTTCACAGCGGTAATCCCAGCACTTTGGGAGGCTGAGGCAGGTAGATCACTGGAGGTGAGGAATTTGAGAAGAGCCTGGGCCTGGCCAACATGGTGAAACCCCATCTCTACTAAAAATACAAAAATTAGCTGGGCGTGGTGGTGCATGTCTGTAGTCCCAGCTACTCAGGAGGCTGAGGCAGGAAAATCACTTGAACCTGGGAGGGAGGAGGTTGCAGTGAGCTGAGATTGTGCCCTCCAGCCCGGGTAACAGAGTGAGACTCTGTCTCAAAAAAAAAAAAAAAAAAAAAAAAAAATCATTAGATACACATTAGATAGACAGGCACAATCTATGCACCATAAACTTGAAAAGGATAGGGCAGCTTGGAAAATACCTAAGGGTAATAGAAAACCCAAGAGAGGAAACTGAAAGCTTGGAAGCAAGAAGATGGGAGAGAACAGGTAAGGAAGGTTGTGTCATGTCAGTAGTATGAAATCTGGACCTGGAGTATGGCATATTCAAACTCGAAATTAATTGCACTTTCTCAAATGGTGCAACTGGTGTATCCATTCTCTTGGATTCATAAAATTTATTCAGAGGTACCCAAAGTAAATTTCTTTCTTGCCTTCATCTTTGAGATTGCAAATGAGAAGTCATTTGTCAGTTGTAAGAAAAATGTTATTTATACTATAAGTGTAGTTTAAATTGCTAAATCTCAAAATGTTTTCCATTTTAGAGTAAGAAGATGGAAGTACAAGAAAGAATACATTCAAAGCAGTGACTTGATTTTATTTTGTAACAATTTCATCCTATTTATTCCTAATATTTTAGTAAGAAGTGTTACAGAGGGTACATCTGACCAAGTTTCTAAACTTACTAGTCCTTTTGAATTTTATTTAGTTTAAAAAAGATAGTTTTTGTTTCTTAAAAGACTTCAAAAAGTTCATAATACTGTCATTCTTTTAAAAAAATTGAGAGACCATTTTAAATTTTTTAAAAATCAAATTTCGAAAGAATTACGAGGATAATTTAAATGCTAACTACACATATAAATATATATAAATGCTATTAATAATACATATTTTTGTTCAACTTAATATATGTCTTTAGCATTTGTTTTTTCTACTAAAAATACAAAAATTAGCTGGGCGTGGTAGCACATGCCTGTAATCCCAGCTACTCGGGAGACCGAGGCAGGAGAATTGCTTGAACCCGGGAGGCGGAGGTTGCAGTGAGCTGGGATTGTGCCACTGCGCTCCAGCCTGGGCTACTGAGCGAGCCTCTGTCTCCAAATAAATTAATTAAGTAAGTAAATATTAAATTGACACAGTGGAACTGGTCACCTCTGCTCTCAGGAATATGGAATAATCACTGCACAAAATAGGGTTACTGAAAAGTAAAACTAATTATAGATAGAAACTAACACAGAAATAAAATGCTTTCAATTCTATAAAATTCAGCAAGAACTTCAGATTTTATTGGTTAATAAATGAAAAACCTGAGATAATATATTACCTGAGATTAATGTTGATGTTGGACTTCTTTGAGTAGATGGACATTATTATAATTGTTTTATTTGAATAACATAATTCTACAAGTAGTTCTGATTTTTCAGAGTCTGAACTTGGATTATATACTACTCTATTGAAAATAATCTGCTGGTTTTATGTATAATAAGGAAGATCACTAATCTTGCAGGATACAATATAAATGAATTCTCTCTTACATCATGTCTGCCTTACCCAAAAGTGAAGATATGAGTCATAAAAGTATTGTGTGCCTTTGGTTTCCATATTTTAAAAGTTAGGAGTCTTGGTACCAATACTCCTTACCTGCCCTGCTAACCCCAACTCAGCAACCCAAACACCCAAGTGATCGGGGATTTTTAACACTTTGCAGGACTTGTAGAAAAATGACAATATGAATACTTTAATTGTGTGGACATCTAAGACCCTTCTAATTAAATTTGTTGGAAAAATGTTTTTGCTGTCAAAAATATCAATAGTATCTTCACATGAAATACATGTCTTCAAAAGCTGGCTAAAATGTTACCATCTTGGAAGCATGATAAGCAGCTCTTTAATGCATATTTTGGAGAAGTTTCAATAATAGGACTCCTATAATTCTCAAACTTCATCATATGAAATGTAAAATTTTTCTATTTCAGACTGTTTTTGATTATATCAACTGCAAATAACCATTCTTTAATGTGATTTAATATTTACAAGCTGGTTGAATTACTTAGAAGCTAGAATGAAATATGAATTATACT